>NC_000011.10:30060000-30211515 GCF_000001405.40 Homo sapiens
AACTTCCTGTAGGTGCTATCCTCCAACATCCCACCAAAACTAATAAGTGCCACATTGCCAAAGACATGGCCAACCTTGTCTTATTAGCCCCAGGAAAATAATTTGATAGGCTTCATCACTCTTTCTTCCTTCACACACTTTCTTCTTTCGGTTGCCAAGCCAACACAGTTACCTGGATTTCCATTCTCTGAACTCTTCGTGGGATTCTTTGCTGGCTCTTCCTCATATCCTTTTCCTTTTCATGTTGGAATGCCACTGGTCATGATCTTTAAACTCTGTTCTCTTCTCTGTCTACCTATTGCTTTTATGGCCCCATTCAATCACATCTATTTACTAATGACTCCAAAATTGATATCCCCATCCTGGATATTTAATCAGAACTCCACACTCAAATATCCAACTATCTAATATTTTCACATAGATATTTATTAGAAATTAAAAACGATATTTCCAAAACAATATCAGAAGCATGATCCAAAAAAGTATAAAGTTGATAAATTGAATGTCATTAAAATGAAAAACCATTGTACCACAAAATGCTTAATTAAGGAGGCATGTTCTTGGCATATTTGAGTAAGAACCTGAAAATTCTATTCCTTCATAAAGGCAATAAAAACCTTGGCAAAATTTGAATAAATCAACTTTCTCAGAATTCAGGATATTAGGCAAAGTCTTACAAAAATCCAAGGAGTGTTTGCTACTTTTTTAAAAAAAGTGAATCTCAGTAAGAACAATGAGTTTTGTGACATTTTAACTTACCCTATTTCTATTACCCCATCTCCAGCTCTGCAACAACCTTGAAAATAAATAGTCTCACAACCATGAGAGCTGCAAAAGACAGCAGACCAGCAGCCAACAGATGGGGAAAAATTGATATTTGGCATTTCTAAAAAGCCCCATACCCTGAGAACTAATACTAGTTGACCTGTCTGAAAATGTTCTCAATAGCTCCATTCTTAGAGTTTATGTTTATTTGACCTAATTTAAAGCTCACTCTGTGCAAACAGTCCTATTCCTAGGTCATTTGTCAAAAGCAATCAGGGCAATTATTTAATATCACAGCAGTTTCAAGTATTAATATCTGTAGAGACTTACAAGAGGCTCCACAGAAGACTTAAAGGGAAAAACTGAGGAATGAGATGGCCATAGGGGGTTTATAAGCTTGTGAGAATCTGTAAGGCCACATACATGTGCAGATTGTGCTTATGCCCAGGAAAAACCGAAGAAGGCTCTAATCTTTTCCCTCTGGTTAACCTCCAGGCTCTGTTCAAACAGGGAGTATAAGCTAAGGCTGAGCGGTAAACTGCCTAACTCAGCATTGAAGGTATGCCTCAACAAACACACAGAAACCCTACACAGATTAGGAGGCTAATTTGTTCAAAGAATTTAAGAAAGTCTCAGTCCAATAATTATCTGGCCACTAAGATAACTGAGCAAAGACTACATTACAGTGCCAGACTATTCACACAGTGGCAAAACTATATACGACAAATAATACAGACCTTACAAAATTAGTCCAGGAAAGTCACTAAACAAACCATCAACTAAAGCAACAACAACAAACCCTGGAGAAAAAAAAATTGGATTTCCAATGTTACTACTTATGCTATTTAAAATGTCTAATTTAACAAAAACTAAAATTGTGAGACAAACAGAAAAAGTATGGTGCATATGCAGGAAAAAAAAAATCAGTCAATAGAAATTTTCCCAGATAAAGCCCAAATGTTGGACTTAATAGGCAAAGACTTTAAATCATCTATTATAAATATATTTAAAGAAAGAAAGGAAACTACATCTAAAGAACTAAAGAAAAGCATAAGAATGATGAGAATCAATATACATAAGTATTCCACAGTTGAAAAGTACAAAAGCTGAAGTGGTTATGGGACTCAATGGCAGATTTGAACTGACAAAAGAAAGAATCAGTAAACTTGAAGTCAGGTCAATTGAGATTATGCAATGTGAGGGACAAAAAGTAAAAAGATTGGAGAAAAATTAACAGAGCCTCAGAAACTGTGGGACATCACTGAGTATGGCAACATGTGCATAATGGAAATCTCAGAAAAGAAGAAGAAAAAACAAAGAAGCAAGAAAAAATATTTGAAGAAATAATTATCAAAACTTCCCAAATTTGATGAAAAACATTATAAATGTACGAAACTCTAAAATCTCTAAGTAGGATAAACTCAAGCAGGTCCACACCTATACACATCATAAAATGCCTATTGAAAGACAGAAATTCTTGAAAGCATCAAGATAGAAGAGGCTTATGTACAGGGAATACTCCCTAAGATTAACAGATGACTTCTCATCAGAAAGCATGGAGGCCAGAAGGAAGTGGGATAGTATGTTCAAAGGGCTGAAAGACGAAGACCTTTAATGAAGAAATTTATTTTTTTTATTATACTTTACGTTCTAGGGTACATATGCACAACGTGCAGGTTTGATACATAGGTATACATGTGCCATGTTGGTTTGCTACACCCATCAACTCATCCTTTACATTAGGTATATCTCCTAATGCTATCCCTCCCCCAGGCCCTTTGTCAGATGGGTAGATTGCAAAATTTTGCTCTCATTCTATAGGTTGCCTGTACACTCTGATGGTAGTTTCTTTCGCTGTGCAGAAGCTCTTTAGTTTAATTAGATCCCATTTGTCTATTTTGGCTTTTGTTGCCATTGCTTTGGTGTTTTAGTCATAAAGTCTTGCCCATGCCTATGTCCTGAATGGTATTGCCTAGGTTTTCTTCTAGGGTTTTTATGATTTTAAGTCTAACATTTAAGTCTATAATCCATCTTGAATTAATTTTTGTATAAGGTGTAAGGAAGGGATCCAGTTTCAGCTTTCTGCATATGGCTAGCCAGTTTTCCCAGCACCATTTATTAAATAGGGAATCCTTTCTCCATTTCTTGTTTTTGTCAGGTTTGTCAAAGATCAGATGGTTGTAGATGTGTGGTGTTATTTCTGAGGCCTCTGTTCTGTTCCATTGGTCTATATCTCTGTTTTGGTACCAGTACCATGCTGTTTTGGTTACTGTAGCCTTGTAGTGTAGTTTGAAGTCAGGTAGCATGATGCCTCCAGCTTTGTTCTTTTTGCTGAGGATTTCTTGGCAATGTGGGCTCTTGTTTGGTTCTATATGAACTTTAAAGTAATAAATTCCAATTCTGTGAAGAAAGTCATTGGTAGCTTGATGGGGATGGCATTGAATCTATACATTACTTTGGGCAGTATGGCCATTTTCACGATATTGATTCTTCCTCTCCCTGAGCATGGAATATTCTTCCATTTGTTTGTGTCCTCTTTTATTTCATTGAGCAGTGATTTGTAGTTCTCCTTGAAGAGGTCCTTCACATCCCTTGTAAGTTGGATTCCTAGGTATTTTATTCTCTTTGAAGCAATTGTGAATGGGAGTTCACTCATGATTTGGCTCTCTGTTTGTCTGTTATTGGTGTATAAGAATGCTTGTGATTTTTGCACATTGATCTTGTATCCTGAGACTTTGCTGAAGTTGCTTATCAGCTTAAGGAGAATTTGGGCTGAGACAATGGGGTTTTCTGAATATACAATCATGTCATCTGCAAACAAGGACAATTTGACTTCCTCATTTCCTAACTGAATACCCTTTATTTCTTTCTCTTGCCTGATTGCCCTGGCCAGAACTTCCAACACTATGTTGAATAGGAGTGGTGAGAGAGGGCATCCCTGTCTTGTGCCAGTTTTCAAAGGGAATGCTTCCAGTTTTTGCCCATTCAGTATGATATTTGCTGTGGGTATGTCATAAATAGCTCTTATTATTTTGAGATACGTCCCATCAATACCTAGTTTATTGAGAGTTTTTAGCATGAAGGGCTGTTGAATTTTGTTGAAGGCCTTTTCTACATCTATTGAGATAATCATGTGGTTTTCATCTTTGGTTCTGTTTATATATGGATTATGTTTATTGATTTGCATATGTTGAACCAGCCTTGCATTCCAGGGATGAAGCCGACTTGATCGTGGTGGATAAGCTTTTTGATGTGCTGCTGGATTTGGTTTGCCAGTATTTTATTGAGGATTTTTGCATTGATGTTCATCAGGGATATTGGTCTAAAATTCTCTTTTTTGTTGTGTCTCTGCCAGGCTTTGGTATCAGGATGATGTTGGCCTCATAAAATGAGTTAGGGAGGATTCCCTCTTTTTCTATTGATTGGAATAGTTTCAAAAGGGATGGTACCATTTCCTCCTTGTACCTCTGGTAGAATTCAGCTGTGAATCCATCTGGTCCTGGACTTTTTTGGTTGGTAGGCTATTAACTATTGCCTCAATTTCAGAGCCTGTTATTGGTCTATTCAGAGACTCAACTTCTTCCTGGTTTAGTCTTGGAAGTGTGTATGTGTCAAGGAATTTATCCATTTCTTCTAGATTTTCTAGTTTATTTGCATAGAGGTGTTTATAGTATTCTCTGATGGTAGTTTGTATTTCTGTGGGATTGGTGGTGATATCCCCTTTGGCATTTTTTATTGCATCTATTTGATTCTTCTCTCTTTTCTTCTTTATTAATCTTGCTAGTGGCCTATCAATTTTGTTGATATTTTCAAAAAACCAGCTCCTAGGTTCATTGGTTTTTTGAAGGGTTTTTTGTGTCTCTATCTCTTTCAGTTCTGCTCTGATCTTAGTTATTTTTTGCCTTCTGCTAGCTTTTGAATGTGTTTCCTCTTGCTTCTCTAGTTCTTTTGATTGTGATGTTAGGGTGTCAATTTTAGATCTTTCCTGCTTTCTCTTGTGGGCATTTAGTGCTGTAAATTTCCCTCTACACACTGCTTTAAATGTGTCCCAGATATTCTGGTACATTGTGTCTTTGTTCTCACTGGTTTCAAATAACATCTTTGTTTTTGCCTTCATTTCATTATTTACCAGTAGTCATTCAGGACCAAGTTGTTTTGTTTCCATGTAGTTGTGTGGTTTTAAGTGAGTTTCTTATTCCTGAGTTCTAATTTGATTGCACTGTGGTCTGAGAGAGAGTTTGTTGTGATTTCTGTTCTTTTAACGTTTGCTGAGGAGTGCTTTACTTCCAACTATATGGTCAATTTTAGAGTAAGTGTGATGTGGTGCTGAGAAGAATGAATATTCTGTTTATTTGGGGTGGATAGTTCTGTAGATGTCTATTAGGTCTGTTTCTTGCAGAGCTGAGTTCATGTCCTGGATATCCTTGTTAACCTTCTGTCTCATTGATCTGTCTACTATTGACAGTGGGGTGTTAAAGTCTCCCATTATTATTGTGTGGGAGTCTAAGTCTCTTTGAGGTCTCTAAGGACTTGCTTTATCAATTTGGGTCCTCCTGTATTGGGTGCATATATATTTAGGACAGTTAGCTCTTCTTGTTGAATTGATCCCTTTACCATTATGTAATGGCCTTCTTTGTCTCTTTTGATCTTTGTTGGTTTGAAGTCTGTTTTATCAGAGACTAGAATTGCAACCCCTGCTTTTTTTTGCTTTCCATTTGCTTGGTGGATCTTCCTCCATCCCTTTATTTTGAGCCTATGTGCATCTTTGCACATGAGATGGGTTTCCTGAATACAGCACACTGATGGGTCTTGACTCTTTATCCAATTTGCCAGTCTGTGTCTTTTAATTGAGGCATTTAACCCATTTACATTTAAGGTTAATATTTTTCTGTGTGAATTTGATCCTGGCATTATGATTTTTGCTCATTATTTTGCCCATTAATTGATGCAGTTTCTTTATAGCATCAATGGTCTTTACAATTTGGCCTGTTTTTGCAGGGGCTGGTACCGGTTGTTTCTTTCCATGTTTAGTGCTTCCTTCAGGAGCTCTTGTAACGCAGGCCTGGTGGTGACAAAATCTCTCAGCATCTGCTTGTCTGTAAAATATTTTATTTCTCCTTCACTTATGAAGCTTAGTTTGGCTGGATATGAAATTCTGGGTTGAAAATTCTTTTCTTTAAGAATGTTGAATATTGGCCCCCACTTTCTTCTGGCTTGTAGGGTTTCTGCTGAGAGATCCACTGTTAGTCTGATGGGCTTTCCTTTGTGGGTAACTCGACCTTTCTCTCTGGCTGCCCTTAACACTTTTTCCTTCATTTCAACCTTGGTGAATCTGATAATTATGTGTCTTGGGGTTGCTCTTCTGGAGGATTATCTTTGTGGTGTTCTCTGTATTTCCTGAAATTGAATGTTGGCCTGCCTTGCCATGTTGGGGAAGTTCTCCTGGATAATATCCTGCAGAGTGTTTTCCAACTTGGTTTCATTCTCCCCATCACTTTCAGGTACACCAATCAAACGTAGATTTGGTCTTTTCACATAGTCCCATATTTCTTGGAGGCTTTGTTCATTTCTTTTTACTCTTTTTCTCTAACCTTGTTTTCTCACCTTATTTCATTAATTTCATCTTCAATCACTGATACCCTTTCTTCCACTTGATCAAATCGGCTATTGAAGCTTGTGCATGAATCACGAAGTTCTCGTGCCATTGTTTTCAACTCCATCAGGTCATTTAAGGTCTTCTCTACAGTGTTTATTCTAGTTAGCCATTCGTCTAATCTTTTTTCAAGGTTTTTAGCTTCCTTGCAATGGGTTTGAACATTCTCCTTTAGCTCAGAGAAGTTTGTTATTACTGACCTTCTGAAGCCTACTTCTGTCAACTCATCAGTCATGCTCCATTGCTGGCAAGGAGCTGTGATCCTTTGGAGGAGAAGAGGCACTCTAATTTTTAGAATTTTCAGCTTTTCTGCTTTGGTTTCTCCCCATCTTTGTGGTTTTATCTACCTCTGGTCTTTGATGTTGGTGACCTACAAATGGGGTTTTGGTGTAGATGACCGTTTTGTTGATGTTGATGTTATTCCTTTCTGTTTGTTAGTTTTCCTTCTAACAGTCAGGTCCTTCAGCTGCAGGTCTATTAGAGTTTGCTGGAGTTCCACTCCCAACCCTGTTTGCCTGGGTATCACCAGCAGAGGCTGCAGAACAGCAAATATTATTGCCTAATCCTCCCTCTGGAAGCTTTGTCCCAGAGAGGCAGCCGCCTATATGAGGTGTCTGTCGGCCCCTACTGGGAGGTGTCTCCCAGTTAGGCTACACGGGGGTCAGGGACCCACTTGAGGAGGCAGTCCGTCCGTTCTCAGAGCTCAGTGCCATGCTGGGAGAACCACTGCTGTCTTCAGAGCTGTCAGACAGTGAGGTTTAAGTCTGCAGAAGTTGTCTGCTGCCTTTTGTTCAGCTATGCCCTGCCCCCAGAGGTGGAGTCTAGAGGAAGTAGGCCTTGTTGAGCTGTGATGGGCTCTGCCCAGTTAGAGCTTCCCAGCCACTTTGTTTACTTACTCAAGCCTCAGCAATGGCGGATGCCCCTCTGCCAGCCAGGCTGCCATCCTGCAGATTGATCTCACACTGCAGCGCCAGCAGTGAGTAAGACTCTGTGGGAGTGGGAGCCACCAAGCCAGGCACGGGAGAGAATCACCTTGTCTGCCAGTTGCTAAGACTTTGGGAACAGCACAGTATTTGAGCAAGAGTGTCCCATTTTTCCATGTAGTCTGTCACAGCTTCCCTTGGCTAGGAAAGGGAAATCCCCCAACCCCTTGTGCTTCCCGGGTGAGGCGATGCCCCACCCTGCTTCAGCTTGCCCTCTGTGGGCTGCACCTACTGTTCAACCAGTCCCAATGAGATGAACCAGGTACCTCAGTTGGAAATGCAGAAATCACTTGTCTTCTGCATCAATCCTGCTGGGAGCTGCAGACCGAAGCTGTTCCTTTTTGAACCATCTTGGAACACCCTCCTTATGAATAATTTTATATCTGGCAAACCTATCTGACAAAAATTAAAGAGAAATTAAGACAGTGCTAGGTAAACAAAAACTGAGAGAATTCATCCCTACCAAACCTACCCTACAAGAAAAACTAAAGGGAGTCCTTTAGGAGAAATGAAAACAAACTAGAGAGTAACTCTAATACGAAGAAATAGAAAGATTAATAAGGGTAATTACATAGGCAAATATGAGAGATAGTATAAATATATTTTAGTTTGTAACACTTTTCTTCTTGCATATGGTTAAAAGACATAAAACTGTGTCAATGTGCTTGAAATGTACTAATAAGTAATATGTATAATAATAGCACACAAGTAGGGAGGCAATGGAGCTATAGGAGAGCAAAGCCGATGTATACTATCAAAATTAAGTTGTAAGTTTGAATCTGTAATAGATTGTTTTAAGTTAAGATGTTAATTGTTTTGCACAAAGCTTCTGCATGAAGCCCTAACACAACCCCTTTTGCTCAGGTCATCAGAACACTTATTCTATTTTATGGAATGAAGTGTTGCCCAGTTCTGAAATCACAATAAAGCCAATTAAGATCTTAATTAAGTTTGTTGTAATTTTGTCTTTTGACACCAATTACTTGGTGAATGGATAAACAAAATATGACATATCCATACACTGTACTGTTCAGTTATAAAAGAGAATGAAATATCAACACATTTTATAACATGGCTGAACTGCAAAAACATTATGTGAAGTGAAACCAGCCAGAAGTAAAGGACTACATATTATACAATTCCATTTATATGAAATCTGAAGAAATGTCAAATCTATAAGAAATCAAATTAGTGGTTGACTGGGGCTGGAGAAGGGAACAGAGATTAATTGTAAATATGCTAAAGGGAAATTTTCATGATTAAATCTTCTCAATTGGATTGAGAGAACTGTTGCACAACACTGTAAATTTACTAAAAATTATTGAATAAGATGTTTAAAATTTGTGATTTTTTTGGTATATAAATTATACCTCAATACATGTAAGTATACCTTAATATGTAAAATTCATAAAAGTTATAAGCATCATCCCATCTATCATTTACTTGCTTTAAAATTATTCAACAGATTCCTAATGTTCTTAAGCAAATTTCAAAATCCTGCATACTCAAGTCCCTGCTTGTGCTTCCAGATTTATCTGACCCATCTTTCCCTTCTCATTGTACACCAGGCCCCCTGGCTTTATTGACTTTCTCTTGTTCTTTCAAAAGCTCTACTTGGGGCCAGGCATGGTGGCTCATGCCTGTAATCCCAGCACTTAGGGAGGCCAAGACGGGCAGACCACGAGATCAGGAGATCAAGACCATCCTGGCCAACATGCTGAAACCTCGTCTCTACCAAAATACAAAAAATCAGCCAGGCATGGTGGTGCGCACCTGTAGTCCCAGCTACTTGGGAGGCTGAGGCAGGGGAATTGCTTGAATCTGGGAGGCGGAGATTGCAGTGAGCCAAGATTTTGCCACTGCACTCCAGCCTGGCGACAGAGTGAGACACTGTGTCAAACAACAACAATAACAACAACAACAACAAAAATGCTCTACTTGGTTCCTTTCTTACTCAGATCTTTGTTCTTCCTTCCTTCTTAAACATTTTTAGAGGTATAATTCATACCCCCAAAACTGCACATATTTAATGTCCACATCTTGATGAGTTTGGACATACGGGACATATGCACACACCAACGATACCATCACTGTAACCCAGGTACTAAACATATCCATTACCTCCAAATTTTCCTTGTGTTCTTTTGTGTGTGAGGTTTTTTGTTTTTTTTTTTTCTGTCATTTGGAGTTTTTTTCTTTTTGGCAAGAACACTTAGCATGAGACCTATGCTCTTACATTTTAAAGGATACAATACCATATTGTTAACTACAGGTATATTTTTTCCCTCAGATCTTACAAATGAGCTATCCTCTCTGCCTGCAAAGTGCATCCCACCCTCCCTTTTCTCTCTATTAAAGAGACATCTCACCAAAACACCACCAGTTGTGATCATATTATCCTCATTGTTTATGTGTATTATCTTCTTTGTTTATGTGTCTGTTTCTCTTGCCATCAGGGTAGTGACATTTTATCTCCCAGTGTCTAGAACAGTGTCTGGTACATGGTGTATGTTCAACCTATGTTTACCTAATTAATGAACATAAAAGAGTCTTGTCCTCAGCTCCTATTCTACTATCTCTGCTATCATCTTTCAGTCTCCCAACTATCTACTTGACAGAACTAGCATAGTGTAGTACCAGTTCACCTGTTCAATCTCAATTTCAAAGACGGATCTTCTCTTTAACATTTAGATTCTCATAAGAGACATTGATCTCAGTAAATTATTGTTCTTATTCTATATCCCAATTCTTCTTCCATTATTTATCCTTAAAATTGGTTGTTGGCCCCTGATACAGAACACTTTTTCTTGTCAATGGACATATGTTGTTATGCACAAAACAAGCAATTGTTTGAGTCAGTCAGTTTAAAGATGAAATTCAATATTTGGTCTCACACGCTATAACCCCTGGTTGCCAGGGAAAACATGGGAGACCTCATTTCTGGGAATTGTATTGATTTCATTTCATTTGCTGCTTTGGAAGCCATGGGCATAAAAAAGAGTAAGCAAATAACAAAGGAGCTTAATGCTTCGAAAACTCAGAGGCACCATTTTCTAAGTCATTGTCAACCCCCATCCAACTACTGGTATCTGTGCAGATTTTAAAATGAACCCATGTTGTTTGCCATAAGTCTTATTTTAAACATGAAAAGTGCAAATCAATACATGGAAGTGGGCTGCAGGCAACCGTGAAAATGGGAAGTCCATTCCAGGCCTTGCAAAACTTTAAGCAGGGCTTCCAAACCCAAGCTGGCCCTAGTAACTGTTTTCCCAGCCCTCTCTCAAAGTAAGGAGAGAAGATAGAAATGAAAGTTAGAGGACTTTTGCCTTAAGAACCTACAGTGCATTAATTTCAAAATTCCTTTCTCTGTACCCTTTGGTTCTCCCCACATGGAGGTGAACACTCCTCCTCTTATTTCTTGTCCTCCGTGATGGAGCCTATTACACCAAATTTAGCTGTGCGGATAAAAATTTGCCTCTTGTGCTTAGAAGGCAAAAGTTTAGTTTTACCTATTGATACTTAAACACTTCCAATCTAAACTCATTTTATTTTAGGTAGCCAAATTTAGAGTTCTTCTCTCCCCCTTTCTCTTGGGAGATTATCTAAATTTCTAGCATAATTACTTATCATCCTCATGTGAGGAAACCAATGGCTCTGTTGGTGTCCATGGCTGGTGCCTATTGCCCATTTTAAGGAATAGAGATAATAATTTTACTCAGAAACCTTTTCCATCTCCCCTCCCAATCCTTGTTTACTTGGGTCATGGCTCTGTCTTCACTGACATGACTGAGATCTAAGACTCTGCTCTACTTACACTCAGGCTGTGTCTTGGACTTCTCTTGGTCTCTGCTATGGGGTTTTCTTGACCCATTAGAGACACATAGCAGGAACCTTGGTTCTAAACTCTTCCAGGTTTCATTTCACTCAGGCATGTGGAGACTTTTAACCCTTATTCCCTGATAGGCTGGGTGCATTCTGCATTCAGAATGCTACAATTCTCCCCCAGCTCCCCTCTGCATTTCCCCCAATATGTATCCTAATAAGCATATATTCCCTGTCCATTCTTTGGAGTTCACCTGAGTCTGGCATAGCAGATCAGGAATCCTGTTAAATAAGGCTCACAGCTCAGTTGCGTTCAACTAGCAAAAATCCTAAGCATCCTTTTCTGCTTGATTTTAAATTTGACATGTTGGGAAGAGGAGGTTGCTTTCATAGAAACTTTTGCTTCTTTAATTAAATGAGAGTTTTGCTAATGACAGGATTCTATTAGTCACAATCTTTTACTAACAGATAGCTATTTATTTTATAAACTCAAATAGACTTTTCCTTTGAGCCAGTCTCAGTCAATGTTATGAGGTGACGGTTTGGCAATAAGAGGGCTCAGATAGTCCCCAGTGGTGATAGGGGAAAAACCCTCATCCGAAAGTACTGTTCTAAATAATTCGTATACAAAGCTTGTAAGCTTTGCTGCTTCCTACCAGGGAACAAAACTAGAAATGGGCTTGGTGAGAAGCTGTTCTGGGAGGTTCCTGGCATACCTTTAAACTACCTATAAAGGAGAGGGCCGTTGTAGACATAGCATGCAAAGAAAAATATGTGGTTTCACTTTTTTAAGGGGAGAGGCAGTTTAAAACAGATTCTTTGTGTACTCTATTGAAAATACTGTGTGTTTCTTATAAAAGGCTCTCTTTTCCACATAGAAACTGACACTCTCCTGCTCTCCTATTGCAGTTACAAAAATTCCGATATGGGAAAAACATTCTAATTCAGTCCAGAATTGAGCTTTCTACGTCATTTGAATCATGCCACAGTAGCTTCCACCTCTGTGTGTGCTAAGAAAACAAAAACAAAAACAAAACAAAACAAAACCGTGTTGACTAATGCTCCTTCTGAAAAAAAAAGACCACATAGTAATTACCTTTTCCTTTTTAAAAATGGAACAACAGTTACCCTTTGTAGATCCATAGCACCTACAGAGCTTAAAACATTCTCTAGGCAAATTGAGAATGTACTATAATCCTAACCAGAAATAAAATGTAACAGTGTTCCCACTTTATGAATATGAAAACGAGATATGGAAAGAGAAGAAATTTCAAATCATACAAATATAATAATAACTCATATTTAGTGAATATTTAATAAGTGGTAAGCACTGTTCTAAATAATTCATGAACAAAACTCATTTAACCCACATCACAATCCTGTGAGGTTACTATTACTACCCTCCATTTTTACAGATGTACAAGCAGGTATAAAGCAGTTAAGCTACTTGCTTAAGGTCACAAAGACTATATGTGATAGAGTTGGGATTTGAACCTTGGCAGCCTGAGCCCATTGTCAACACTCAACAATACACATGCTGCCTTTTTAATACATGTGTAGTGAAGCTTCGTCATATAGCAAACTGAAATCCGGTTTCCATATTAAGTGGCATTTAGCTATTCAGTGTGTTTTAAAATAAAAAAAATAGGATTAGAAATTGTTCTTGGCCAGGTGTAGTGGCTCACAGCAGTAAGCCCAGCACTTTGGGAGGCCAAGGCAGGAGGATCACTTCAACCCAGGAATTCGAGGCTGCAGTGAGCTATGATCTCACCATTACACTCCAGCCTGTGTGACAGAGTGAAACCCTATCTTAAAAGAAAAAAAAAAGTGTTCTCTGTGATGGCAAATGAGGAAAAATTTAAGAAGGAAACCAAACAGATTTTCAAAGATTTAAACTGCCCTCCGTATAGAGAGATTTAAATATAAGAGATAATAGCAATGTAGCTGGGCTTACCACTTTCTAGAAATTATTCTTTATAAAATAAACTCAAGGTTTTGTTTTGCTGAAATGTTATTTATCCATTCTAAAGAACTTTGTCAATTGAATCAGATGAAATATAAATATATATGAGAAGAACTTATGTTCATTTAATAGTTTATCAGTTTACTAAGTACCTCCCTATAGGCATCACATTTTTTATTTGTTCTTTTGCACAGTTGAAGAAGCAGAGGCCCAATGAAATAAGTGTCTTGTTCAGGGTCACACAGCTGTGAAGTTATATGATTGTGATGTAAATCAACTCCATTTCTCTTTCAACTATACATATGGGATATTTTAGCACTTTGCCACTTATAGAGTGTTTTCATGTATGCGTATTTACCCTATTCTTGTAGTAGCCCCAGGGGGGTGACAGTGTATAGCATTGAAGAATATGGACTTCCAAGTCAGATTGCCTTTCTTCAAATTCTGACCCTGCCATTTAGCATGTGACCTTAGACAAGGTACTTAATCTTTTGGTGTTTCAGTTTACTCATCTCTTAAACAGGGTTAAAATACTATCTATCTTGCAGAGAAGAGGGGAGGATATGTAAGTATTAATTGAGATGCTATAAGGAAGACACCTGGAGTAGTGCTTGGAACAAGATAATATACGTGGGCTTTTACACTCAGTGTACGTTAATGCTTACATGGAGAAAAGCTTATTGTGTCAATTTTTTTCAAAATATATTTTTTCTTTCGAAAAAATAAATTTTATTGTGTATTGAGGTTTACAACATGACGTGATGGAATACCTATGGATAGTAAAATGATTATTATAGTGAAGTATATTGACGTATCTATCATCTCACATAATTCCTTTTTTGTGACAAAAGTCACTAAAATCTATTTATTTAATGAAAACCCTTAATACGATCTTATCAACTTTAGTCTCATATTATACATTAGATGTCTAAACCTGTTCCTCCTAAATAGCTACTCTTTTGCATCACATGACCTATATCTCCCCATCTCCTCTCCCCCAACCTCCTTCCCCGTCCATTGTAACCTGTTTCATTTTCTATCTCTGTATATATGAGCTTTTTTTAAGAAAAATTATATTTCACTTGTAAGTGAGATTATGCAATATTTTTCTTTCTGAGTCTGGCTTACTTTATTTAGCATAATGTCTATGTCCAAGCAGATTCATCCATGTTGTGGCAAATGGCAGAATCTCCCTTTTTAAGGCTGAATAATATTTCATTATATGTATGCCACATTTCCTTTATCCACTCATCCATCAACAGACATTTAGGTTGTTTTCATATGTTAGCTATTGTGAATAATGTTATAATAAGCTTGAGAGTGTGGATTTCTTTACAAGGTGGTGATTTCATCTCCTTTGGGTATACACCCAGAAAAGAAATGACTGAGTTGTATGGTAGTTCTATTTTTAACTTCTTCAGGAACCTCCATATTTTCCATAATGGCTGTATCAATCTACATTCCCACCAACATTGTACTTATTTGTGGCCATTTTATACATAAAAGAACTGTGGTTTCAAGTTGAATGACTTGCCCATTGAAGTGGAATCCAAACCCAATTCTACTGACTCCCAACCTACTTCTTTCTCACTGTACCAGCTTGTTTTATGTAAAAATCTAGGCTTTACTGAATTTTATCCAAGTTGGACAGTTATACACAGGGGTTCTAAATCAGGCATCCATCTGTGGAATTCAGGGTTTCTGAGAACCCCCTACAATCATATGAAAAATGTACCTCTGTATATTTTTCTAGAAAAGGGCTTTTAGTTGCCATCAGATTCATAATAAAGGTCCAACACCCTTAAAGGTTAAGGGCCATTGATTTTGAGGTAGTATAGCATAATGTTTAAGATTCTAGGCTTTGGAAATGCCTAAGTTCATATGACAGGTGTAACACCTAATAGCTCTGTGACTATGGGCAAATTACATAATTTCTCTGTAACTTTATTTTCTTGTCTGTAAAAGAAGCATGATAATTTGCAAGGATTAAATTAGTTCAAAATTTATAAAAACACTGAAAACACTGCTTTGCACATAAAAAGCTCAATTTAAAGATTGCTAATATCATAATTGTTGTGGTCAGGGTATACATAAAAAAAACAACAGGAATTTGTCCACTTAGGAAGTGAGTTATTAATGTAGATCATATCTGTGAGAACTCAGCACTGTGCCTGGTCCAATGCAGTGGTACATGAAACCTCACCTCTTGGTTGTCACATCCTGCTCTTGAGTGGGATTTATTGATCAACTTCTAATGAATCAAATTAGGCACAAGTGGTGGGATATCACTTCTCACATTAGATTAGATGCTCTCTCTCTTTCCTTGGGGAGGTCACCTTCCATGTCATCAGGCAGTGCAGTGAAAAGATCCACGTGAAGAGAAACTGAGGGAAACCCCCAGTAAGCAGTTAGCAAGGAAATGAGGCCCATAATCAAACATCTCTAAGGAATAGAGGCCCACATGAACACACTTGAAGGAAAATCTTCCTCCAGTAACATTTTCAGGTGAGACTTCAGACTCAGTCAACAGTTGGCTGCAACCTCCTGAGAGAACTTAATCCAGACGCCCTCAGCTAAACCAGGCCCAGATTTCTGACCCATAAACAGCAAGATAACACATCTTCACTGTTTTAATCCACTAAATTTAAGAGTAATTTTTTAATGTAGCAATAGATGACATACATGTGCCAAGTACTTTATAGACATTATTTCATTTAGATTTCATAACCACACTGTGATGTAGAGATTGTTGCCCAGATTTACAGAGGAAGCCTGGAGAAATCAAAAGACAAACCAGTCTGGTAGTGAATTTTGCCTGACTTCAAAGCCCATGCTCTTTCTTTGCCAGGATATTAATTTCGTTCACCCATTTTTGAGATTATTTTAATTTGTGTAAATTTTGTTTTTAGTAATTAAAATAAGAATTACTAAAGTTATTCAGGAATAAAATTCAATATGGTTTTGAAACATATTATTGGTCTGTATTTTAACCAGAAGTTGGAATGGTGAGTAGCTCTCATTTAGCAAGACACTAGGTTTTGCCAACATTTATGCTGTAGGGAATAGGATCTAAGATTTTATGATCATCAAATTATTAACTCTAAATCTGGCCTCTTTACTTCAACCTCTACATTATTACTGTAACTTATTTTTGCAACACAGCTCTTTAAAAAAATCACTCATTGTGCTTGAATTAATAATCATGGCTTTAAGTAAAATGAATAATTATTCATTACCTACTCACTACTATCTTCAAACAGAATTTCCCTCAACAAGTTAGTAAGTCTCTTGTCTCCAGGCCCTTTGGCTCTTGGGCAGCAGTCTATCAGTTATATCCTCAATTTCCTAGTGGAAGAAATATTTAAAGTCCTAGGACAGTTAATGATCCATGCCAAATCATTAGAGAAAGCAATAGAACCCATTTACACTTGTAGTCAAATTTGAAAGAAGACACTAACAAAGAGATATTTATGACTTCTCCAGAATATAGCTCAAGTCTCACAAACCAATTCTTTAATAGAATTCTCTCCCTCTGCCCTTTTTAAATAATTAGTGACTTTAACTCAATGGAATATTAAAATTTGATCACTGGTTACTGTAGCAATTTGAGAACAAATTGAAAATCATTAATCCCACAGATAAAAATGTCAGTTGTCTTGGGTGTAGAGACATTCCAGTGAAATATGTTATTAAAATTATTAGATATGTTTTAATATTTGAGATACCTATATTTCTATCTATTTTTCTGTCATCTATGTTAGAATAAGCCTGGCACTATTGAAACTATCACTAATTTTAAAGTAGATATACTTTATGCTCTTCATCACTTTGTTTTATCAAACACCTCTAAGATCACTAGTACTTTATAGAAGTTAATATAACCATAGTTTTTTCCTTCAGAAGTTGAGTTATTTGAGTTTTCTAAGGCACTTTGGACTGGATCCTAATGAACACACAGTACAAAATATAAGTTAGAAAATGGAAGTCTAGTTTTTGATACCACATATTACTATAAAATATTTTAAATTTAGTTTTATCATTTTAACAATCCATTTAAAAATCATCTTGGTTGACTTTACTCATACTACTTGCTGAAGACTAAAAATTGTGTAAATGTAGACAGCATATACCTCTATGGGTATGGTGAATCTGTGATATGATTAGCCATAAAAATTAAACTCAGAGATTTGCCACTGAAAATAGTGAAATTGTCAGGATTGACTATCAATACTCATTGCTTTTGCTTTGCTGAACTTCCCACTTTTTAAAGATGAATTCAGAAAAGAAATTGGCATAATCATTGATACAATGTCAATCTCTGCACTCTACAATGCAGAATGCATTTTTAAAAGTGCACATACATTATTACATGGAGTGGTGTAGTAGAAAGAGAAACAGGCTTAGAATCAAGAGATGTTGGTCCTGTTTTGCCACTGTATGACTTACAATGCAATTTTGAAAAAGCTGCTTTACCTCTCTAGAGTTTATCTTTCTTATATATAACGTGATAAGATTGATCTTTCCTATGCATAAAATGGTAAGATTGATCTCAATATTAGTGTTCTAACTAAATAATTATGACCCGATCTAAAATACCTTGAAATATTCAAATAACTCAACCTCTAAGAAATTGTGGTTATGTTGCTTCCTTTAAGGCACTGGTGACCCAATAAATATTTATTTCCAAGTACAGTGGATCCTTATTGTTCATGGATTCTATGTTTAAGTTGTCTGCTCACTAATATTTACTTGTATGCCCAATATTAATACATGCATTGCCTTCATGGTTATTCATGGACATGCACAGTGTGGCAAAAAATTTGTCACCCAATGCGTATGTTCCAAGCTGAGGTCAAGTAAAGCAATGAGCTGCCTTACTGTTTAAGTTCTCATGCTATAAATAAGTGTCCCTTTTGCAGTCTATTTAGTACAATGGTTTTTGCATTTTTGTACTTTTTGCTAGTGATTTTACTGTTTAAAATGGCCCCAAAGAATAATGCTGAAGTTCTATCTAATGCTTCTAAGTCTAAGTAGGCTGTGATGTGCCTTATGAAGAAAACACATGTGTTAGATTAGCTTTGCTGAGGCATGAGGTATGATGCTGTTGCTATTTCAATGTAAATGAATGGAAAATATGTATTAAATAAGGTGTCTTTAGATGGAAACCCACACACAAAACAGTTATGTATTAACAGGTTACTGAGTATGTTATGACCAGAGACTAATAAGAACAGTATTTCCCCTAGTAGCATCCAATAAGTTCTTTCTAAAAATAATCTCTCTGAAGAAAATCTTTAGGAAACTTATAAGAGAATTTTATTTTAATACAATGTTTCAAGTGCTCACCAAGGTATTTGGTGTGACAATCACATTGTAAGGTACAGCTAAATATTTAGGATTCCATCATGTCTTTTCTATTAAGAATACTCCTCTCTGCTATATCTAAACATTGTCATCATTTTCCAACTTATTTCCACTTGAGCAGTATCTGGGCAGTTCAAGATTTCATTAGATGTTATAACTGTCTTCAAAAACATGATTTTGCAGGGTCCCTCACTTCCTATCACCCAATAAAACACTTACTTCCTTTGAGTGCACATTCAGCCTGCTCAGTATTCTATCTCTGGGAATGAAACAGCATCATTTTGACAGAAGCATATCTGAACATCTTAATAGACTGCAGAAAATGCTTAGGAAATGGGATATAGGTGTGGGAGCAATATAATTTCAAAGAATGCACTTGCTTTTCCAATAAAAAACTGAACACCTGTGATCTGTGGAAAATTTGATAAACAGATATAAGAGAAAGGGTGGGAAAAAAAGGTTGCTCTTGATATTTCACTCCTTGCTAACAGCAGATTGCTAAAGTTACCACTTTCAAATTTTGCAGCTCTTGAAACTCTATTTCAAACTCACACAGGCAATGGGTTTTATATTATATTGCAACTATAAGTTAAATAGAAAGATATGCATCATATTTCACATAGTGTAATCTGTGTGTGGTAGAAAAATGCATTGGGATATTAATTTGCCTTTTCTTGTCACTGCTGTAAATAATTTACAGTTCTGTGTCTTAGAAGATAGCAATGTTTTTGTCTTCCCTTTTCCCAGAAATGGGAAAAAATGCAAGTGTACTCAAAAGATCAGTTGCAATCTGGACTTTTTTTTCAAAAATCGAGGCTCATAAGAGAATATGGAATTAGATGATCTGAGAGAAGAGATTTCAGGGTTGGGAAAGGTAGTGAATTAGCTTTTGGAGAAGGGTATTGAGAGAGTTTTTCCAGCGAATAGTAGAGTTGGAGTCTAGGAAGTTCACAAGCAATGGTGAAACGGTGTGTTGCTCCATCTTCTACAGCCAGGGAGATGGCAGCTGCTATGGTTTTGGATTTGTGTCCCTACTGAAATCTCAGGTTTAATTGTAATCCCCGCTGTTGAGGATGAGGGGGGCCTGGTGGGAGGTGATTGGATCATGGGGACAGACTTCCCCCTTGCAGTTCTTATAACAGTGAGTGATTTCTCATGAAATCTGGTTGTTTAAAAGTGTAGCACCTCCTCCTTCTCTCTCTCCTTCCTGCTCTGGCCATATAGGATGTGTCTGTTTCCCCTTCACTTTCTACAATAATTGTAAGTTTCCTGAGGCCTCCCAAGCCATGCTTTCAGTATAGCCTGCAGAACCTTCAGCCAATTAAACCTCTTTTCTTTTTAAATTACCCAGTCTCAGGTAGTTCTTTATAGCAATGTGAGAATGCACTAATAAAGTGGGTCTCAGATAAAAATGATAGCAAGATATACCTGTAGTGGTCAGGGACTAGAGACTGCAGCCCTTGGAATCAGCCAAAATCTAAATGCCCCTTTGATGGAGGCAGACAAAGGATAGGTAACAGTGGTGACTAGTATATACTGCAGACCCAAAGGCTATTCTTCAAATGCTCTTTAAGTACTGTGATTCTTTCAGGACCCTAGGTTTCCCATAAAAACATGAATTTCAATTTTATTTTTATCAGGTAGGGAAGGGTCCTACCTGATAGGTCACTGATATGATTTTTACAAGAAAAATAAAATTATGTTTCTTGTACTGTATCATAGACTAGATCTTGCACTGGATCACAGACATAGATCATAGCCATATGTCAGCTCATGTAACCCTCATAACAACTCTAGGGTATAGGTATTATTAAACCCATTTTAAAGATAATAAAAGTGAGGCACAGAAAGGTCAAATACCTTGCCTAATGTCACAGAGCATGGAGGTGGCAGAGCTGGTATTTGAACCCAAGCAGCCTGACCTGACACTGTGCTCTGGACTACACCACTATTCTGCCTATCCTGTCATGTTCATGTCAGGCCACATAACTCTTTAAAGTGGACTGCTACAAATAATTATTGTGCACATATATTATCTTCCTTTAGCTTTTTAAAGTCTGGCGTGCTTCTTATTCTTTATATTTCCCAAAGTGCCTGATACTGACCCTGGAAAAATATCACTCACATGAATGTGTAAAAATCAAACTTGCTCACAAAACAGGTCTGAATATATATATATGTGCAGATAATGACACACACACACGTATTTATATATGTATACAGGTATATATGTATATATAGTCTTTAAAACATAGATGGTCAGGACTGATCAGTTTAAATGCAATAGATGTGCATTTTAAATGCCTATATGCAATAACATATCAAAATACATTCTCAACAGAGAATGCATTAATATTTTTCAATATCTTTTCTTCATTACTTCAGAATATATAATAAAAATGGTAATTAGATGGATTTTTTTTAAAACTGCAGGTAGTAAACTGGTTCTAGAATTTATTCTGAATGGTATTACAGAACTATTGTGAGCCAGGAATATATGACTTTTAAGGAACATGCCATAACTAATGCAGTGGACTCTGTTGTGCACACCCAGATCCCTCTTCAGATCTGAAGAACTTATGCCCCCAGCTGCTAGAAACGCTGCCCACTGCCGAATGGTTTTCAGCCCTCGACAGAAATTAGTCTCAGCTAGGGAGAAAAAAAAAAGAGAAATACATCAAGCTAAGATGTGTCTGTTTCTTCAGAGGCAGCCTGCAACTGATGACTGGTCAATATGGGAATATAAAGGTCCACCTCTTTCTTTTTCACAACTTGGGAATACTCTGGTGGGCCATCGTAACTTTCAAGCTCCCTGTGCAGAACAGTTGTGGCTTTCTTGGTATCAAAGCCCAACTTCTACATCGGCCCAATCCCGCTTTTTTCCCTTTTCCTTCACAAGTGTTGATCCTGAGAGCCTTCCAAATAAAGTTCTTCCTGCCATTCTTCGTGTCAGCATCTGCTTCTTGTGGAAATCAAGCTGTGACATCTAATGCATCCAAATGCATGCTACATGCTAAACTGACATCACACTTGTTTCTCTGTAGGAATACTTAATACATTTTCTTCCAGTTTGTAGCATTTATGTGGCTTAACCTAATAGAAGCAGATAAGTCATGTCCACAGATTCAAGCTGATCTTGCCCTGCTGTAATTTACAACATTAAAATGAGAAGATCTCTTTCTAGCTAATCATTAGATCCTCATATGATAGTATCCATGGATTGCAACTGTAGAAGCTAAAATTGGGTGCTGATAAGGTGTCAGGTGCTGTGCCAAATGCTTTGCATGTATTATTTTATTTAAGCCTCATAATGACCGTATGAGGTAAATACTATTTTTATTTCATTTTACAGTGACGCTTACTGTAGTAGTTAAATAACTTTCTCAAGGTTGCAGTATGACACGGCATTCTGTCTACAGCCTCTTAATACTACTATATTGCCTCACCTATATACATAATGACAAAGAGCTATAAAGAATTCAGTAATGCATTTAAATTACTTTCTATTTTATTCACCATAAAAAAAAATAGCACCTGAATTCATTTGAAATATAGTAATTCAATAAGTGCTATTTTTATTCAGCCAGCAGACAATTTTTGGAGGCCATATGCAGTTGCAAATTCTTTCAAAAACTCTGTACCTCTCACAGAGTCCTCTACTCCCGACTCAATAGTTAGTGACCATTGCCCTCAACAGTTTACATACCCCTCCCATTTGGTGCTCCTGGTGCTTAATGTTACACATTCTCCCTTTGTACACCTAAAAAAGATACATACAAAGTAGAAAAAAGCCAAAAAAAAAAAAAGGCAAGAAAGAAAAAAGTTCAAAAGCAGCAAATATTATTACACTGAAAAACAGTAGCCCACAGAAGCAATTAGAAAATTTTGGTACAGTGTGTGCAGATTCTAAAACTTACTACCATTATTGCTCATTGACAGACATTTTGTGGAAAGAAGGTGAGTATTCCAAATCTTGAGGCTTTCACTGATATCTCTAATTTGACAAAAAGTAGACTAAAGGATACGTAGGAATGTAGAAAAAAACAGGCTAGGCAAATTCTTAAGAGTAAATGCCATGCTGGATGAGTGAGCAGGAGCAAGAACAGAATTTTCCAAAGTTACATTTTGATGTGAATGAATTGACTGAAGGCTTAGGGTATTCTACCAGAAAAATAGGATATACCTTCAACCAAGTGAAATGAAACGATAGTACAGGATATTTGAGAACATATCAGAAGAAAAAGCAAATAATGAATGTTTTAGTTTCTTGTCAAAGCAAACTGCAATATAAGGAACTAATAAGTTGTTACCCTTCTCTTTCCATGCTTGTACTCTAAGGTTAAAAAAAAAAGAAAAGAAAAAAGAAAGAGAGAATGGAAGAAAGAAAGAAAGGAGGGAGGGAGGGAAAAAGGAAGGAAAAGAAATCACTTTGGTGCAATAGCTCGGCTAGTTAGGAGTTCAGGGAACATGCGGGTGGTGGGAAGAATAGTCTTTGAGTTGACTGGAAGAGGATCAAAGCTAATTTATCTATATTATATTAGAGCAAACAGAAGATCTTGGCAAAGCTACCCATGGCAAGCACAAATAAATGAAAATGAACACAACTGAATTAATATAAATTTTATATTGTAACAAAATGAAGAACCAAGTCTGGAAGAAAGAATAATTCAAGTGAAATAAGAATATTCTCTTTGAATGTACTAAGCTATCAAAGAACACAATAAAATACACACATAATAAAAAATAGCTCAAAAACGAAACTATTAACAATATTCAATTAAAAGAAAAATTACAGAGCCAATAAATGAATTATAAACACCAAACAATTTACTATTAAAGAAGAAAGATTTGAGTTAATAATATGCAGAGCAAATTGGAGAAGAGAACAAAACAGTTAGAATATACTATACAGGTAAGATAGAAAAAGAAAAATCATTGGGAAATTTGTGTTCCTCAGAGAACCTAACAAGTAGAATAAAAAGCATATTCAAAGTTAAAAGGTCCAGTGTGGTCAGGCAAATCCAAAAAAAATGATCAACATAAGATATATTCTGATTAAATTTTTCAACATCTAAAAGTAAAAAAGATTACCTCAAATACACAGGCAGGATTTAAAAAAAAACACAAAATATAACAGTCAAAAAAATCAAGCCACATTTACTCTATAGCAATATTCAATGCCAGAGACAATAAATTCAAATGTTCAGAGCTGTGACCCAAAGCTAATTATCAAGGGAGGTGATATTCAAGTATAGAAGTTTCTGGCAGAAATTTTTAATAATGAGTAAACACAAGGTATAAAGTCCTCAAGAGTTGTTCTTGGGAAAAAAGAAACTCTAGAACTATAATTTTTGAGTTTGGAAAACTAAAATATGAGTAGAAAATTTCTAATAAAACTATTAATGAAGCAGGAACAGTTGAGAAAAGTATATAAAGTCCAAAGGGAAATAAAAATGACTCAAGTATTTCATATCCAGACTCATATTTCTTGGAGTAGAAAAACAACTCACAAATATTCTTAGACATTAAGAAGCAAATAAAGGAATGCAATGTCTCTGAACTTTTATAAAATGTCTTTCAATGCAATGCAATAAAATGCAGCAAACCAAGAACTGAATCAAAATAAAGAATCCAGAAATGGAGAAACATAGTAAGGTACTGGAAGTAAGCAGTGGGTCCATGTATTAGTCTGTTCTCACATTGCTATAAAGAACTACCTGAGAATGAGTAATTTATAAAGAAAAGTGATTTAATTGACTCACAGTTCCACAGGCTGTACAGGAAGCATGGCTTGGGAGGCCTCAGGAAATTTACAATCATGGCTGAAGGTGAAGGGGAAGCAGGAAACGTCTTACATGGACAGAACAAGAGAATGAGAGATCAGAGGGAGGTGCTACACACTTTTAAACAACCGGATCTCATGAGAACTCACTATCACAAGAACAGCAAGAGGGAAATCCACCCCCATGATCCAGTCACCTCCTACCAGGTCCCTCCTCCTACATTGGGGATTAAAATTTGATATGAGATTTGGGGGGAAACACAAATCCAAACCATATAAATCCACTTAAAGATAAAAATAAACCCAAACAACTGTGGAACTATGGCTATTCTACAGAAATTAAGAGTTCAAACTCTGATAACAGATTGAAATGGGTTTAAAATGTGGCTCCATTGCTTATTAAATGTATGTTGGACAATTACTCAACCACTTGGTATCTCAGTTCTCTTATCTGTAAGATGGGAAAATAATACTTGCCTGAAAGGATCCTGGTGAATATTAAATTACATGATAAATATAAGAAGCCTGAACAAGCCAAGAAATATAATATGTTGTAAGCCAAAAATGAGTATGGGCCAGCTCTCAGATTAAAGAAAAAGAAGGGGCCAGGCGCGGTGGCTCACGCCTGTAATCCCAGCACTTTGGGAGGCCGAGACAGGTGGATAACCTGAGGTCAGGAGTTCGAGACCAGCCTGGCCAACATGGTGAAACCCTGTTTCTACTTAAAAAATACGAAATTAGCTGGGCATGGTGGCGTGTGCCTGTAGTCCCAGCTACCCGGGAGGCTGAGGCAGGAGAATTGCTGGTACCTAGGAGGCGGAGGTTGCAGTGAGCTGAGATGGCACCACTGCACTCCAGCCTGGGCTACAAAGTGAGACTCCGTCTCAAAAAAAAAAAATACAAAAAGAAAAAAAACAAGAAAAAGAAGGAAGGAAAGAACAAAGAAATTTAAAAAAAGAAGGGAGGGAGAAAGGAAGGCAGGCAAGCAGCCTTAGAGTAATGATTGGAATCTGCAGATTTCAATAAATGTCAGCCATTATGTTTTTATATAAAATAATGTAAATATTACCAATTTTGACAGAACAAACATGCTAATATAAATAACCAATATAAGAAAGTAAAGGAAAATGGAGGAATGAGAAATGTAAATACAAATTTTTCCTATTCTTCATAGAATGCAGGAATTTGGTACTATTTAAACTTGAAGTCTTGAATTCAAAAAAATGATTTGCCACATCTTATTTTTCACAATATTTTACTTACCTTCAGAAAAATCTATTCATAACAAATATATATATTTGTTTTATAAATATCTGTGTATATATGTGTATACATACATATATTTATGTGTGTGTATATATACACATATAAGTTACACTTATATAAATATATGTATATATACACACGTATGTAAATATAAACATATTTACATATATGTTTTCGGAAGAAATGATTATTGGATGCTCAACTGTTTATTTTCATTTGAGTTTGTTTTTATTATAATAAAATTAATTCAATACATTTCATTTAAAATAGAATATATTTCTGGATGCCATTTTATAAAAATCATTTTCATTCATTTATCTACCCATTCATTCTTTTGTTTATCTGTAGACAAAAATATGTATCTGCTATTATGCTCACCTAATAGTTTTGGTGTTTATCTTTGGGTGGTTAGATTTTTGTTTTCTCCTGTATTGCTTGAAGTTTTCTTAAAAATAGTAATTGTGTATCATTTTTATACAAATAATAAAGCTTTTTTATGGAGAATGTTTTTTAAAAGACCCACTACATGAAAAAAAGGCTATTTATTCAGTTTGCTATAGCAAAGGAGTCAGCCACCATCACTTGTATTTTGGCAGAGATTCAAAGGCAGGCAAGAGTAACAAGAAAGCTTTATAGTGGAATAGAGGGAAGACTTCAGGTGTGTCCTGATTAGGAGCTGTTGTCAGGAACAGCCCCTAATCCTAATCTCTTATCCTGATGAAGGTAGCGTAACTAGAAGTGGGACTTCCTATGTAATTGCTTAGGGAGTACATATTTGGCTTTCTGTAGCTGGTCTTAAACTTGAAACAGGGAATAAATTAGGTAAACTGCCAGTTAATTATTACAGGAGTTACTATTTGGCTTTCAGGTCTGGTTGTTAGAGACAGTGGTCTGACTTCTTGTAAGTCTGACTTCTAGAGAGTAGGCAGGCTTCCTGGGCTGGTTACTATAGATAATGGGTTGGTTTCCTGGGCTGGGTGCTCATATTGTGGGTCAGAGCTCCATTTTTTTATGTTTGGCCATTGTCTGTTTGTATATTTTTTTTCTCTCACTTAAAACAAAAGATAAAAATTACAACAAATCAAATTATAAATTATGTGAAATATTCTTAAACTATTCTTGAGGTATTCTTGAGGAGCTTCAGAGATTGGCACAGTGATGGGAGGACCAATTAGTTCAAACTCACTATTTTCTTTTCCATTATATATGGGTGTGTGTGTGTATATATATATATATATATAGCCATATATATACACATAGATACATATACCCATATATATACACATATACATATTTGTGTGTGTGTGTATATATATATACACACACACACACAAACATATATACACATATACATACATATATACATACACACACACACACACACACGGCTCTTTCTAAGCTTTTGGGCCCTTCCTACAACTGTGATTAAGAAAACACTTTGATTACAAAAGTTGGAGAACACTTAATAATGTCTTATTCATCTGACTTATTCCTAGAAAACACTGCAATTTGACATAGGTATCAACACCATATGAAGTATAGTGAGATGGCTCCGTACTTGTTGTGTGACTTGGGACAGTTGACTAAACCTCATTTATTTTCTTCATCTTAAAATGGGAAAAATAATAAATAATAAACAATGTTAACACCTGCTTTTTAAGAATAAAGAGCTAATCTCAGAAACAAATTTAAGCCTTTTAACCTGAAAATACTGTCCAAGGAAATTATTAGTAAATATATTTTTAATTTAATATATATGATTTGATTTCTAATTTGAATAGCTTTGTTGTTATACAAAAAGTAAGTGATCTGCCCTCAATACTCTGGCTATGCTTATGCTTATTTTAATCTATATTATATTTGATTTGATCATGATGAGATTATTTCTATTTTCATTGAAAAGCACAAATTAAAATAGCTTTGATTCTTATCAAAACTGGATGCTGATTTTATGTAAAAACAGTTTTTCTTCTAAGTGACTTATTTCTCCTATTTTCTTTAACTTCAGATGGCATTTCATGCCCATACTACAACTCATCAAATTTATTTATTTATTTCAGCAATGGAGCTACATTCTAGAGTTAATTTATCTTCAGCATCTTTAAGTAACCCCAGAAATATATAAAAGTTGGAACCAGTTATAAATATTTTATTTCTTTCTACATAAACTTAACCTAATCAGTCAGAAAGTTTGTGGGTTGTAGAGGTTAACACATAGAGTTTAGGGTTAAAGAGACCTAAAGTCTGATTTTGCTCTTAATTCTTTTGTATGACCTTGGAGCTGTTACCTATTTAACTGATATTTGTCTCAGATTTTTAAATCTTAAAATGGGGGATAATAATACCCTTTGCTTGGATAATGTCATTAGAGGTGTCTAGTCTAACTAACAAATGCTATACAGTTTCCTCTGTAATTACATGATGTAGTTGCTTTGAGAAAAAGGTTACTGTGTCTCCCCCATCAATTAAGATCATCAGTCACACTTGATTAATTCAGGGCATTTTAATACACTCAGCAGCTGATATATTTACAAAGGCAGCACCTACATACCAAGGGTTTGTGCTGCATTGGGCAATAGTAAAACGCATCAGTCAGTAGGCTGTCAATACTTGAAGGCGTTTTTATCCAATCAAATGTCTCTTATTACCACACAGGGGATTGGATTCTAAAAATCTAAGAACATTCATTTGTCTGTTTAATGCTTCTAAACCTAGAATTAGATTAAAATCATTTTTGTTTTAAAAATCACTATACCTGATTATGAATGATTTTATTTCCTTTGTTATATGATTCTCTATTCCAAACATTATGCAATAAACATATTTACTTTTATTATTAAAATAGTATCATAGGAAAAAAGGGAAAACGTCACTACATTGAGTATTATGACACAAAATTCTTGTATTTAGATTGCTACTCTCCACAAAACAGAGCTTCATTTTACAATGACAGACCCCTTTATCCTGAGATAGGAAAGGGGGAAAAAGCTAGACAAGTAATTGCCACAAAATGGTATTAAGATTCAGAGTCGCAGACAGGCGTGGTGGCTTACACCTGTAATCCCAGCACTTTGGGAGTCCGAGGTGGGCGGATCACCTGAGGTTAGGAGTTCAAGATCAGCCTCACCAATATGGAGAAACTCTATCTCTACTAAAAATACAAAATTAGCTGGGCATGGTGGCACATGCCTGTAATCCCAGCTACTCGGGAGTCTGAGGCAGGAGAATTGCTTGAACCCAGGAGGCAGAGGTTGCGGTGAGCTGAGATCACACCATTGCACTCCAGCCTGGGCAACAAGAGTGAAGCTGTCTCAAAAGAAAAAAAAAAAAGAATCAGAGTTGTAAACAATGACTTAAGCCAGGTAAAGTTGTCCATGAGGCAAAATATTATGTATAAAGTCACTTTATTTTTCTTTATTATAAATGAATTCATTTATTCTGTTCTTTTTATACCTTCCTATTTGGCTATTTTTTGTAATGAGTATATTACAAAATTAGTTGATTGCCATTCATTAATCAAGATAAAATTCATTCTCAATCTATGTTGCTTACCAAGAGCCCCATTAGCCACTGCTGTGATCCAGTTTCAATTTCAAAAAATTGGCTGACATTGACATTGTAGGGTGTCTGCTCAGTTTAAAAAACTCCCTTTCTTTTAGAATGTCTACTCTCACTTGTCCAACCTCCTTCTTGATAGGTGATTGGAACAAGGGTCAAATATCCTGTCTTGGAATTTGATATTGATTCACAGAAAGCCACATAGTTCGTTCTTGTGACTAGAGCAGAGATGGTATAAACTCTGGGTCAGTGGGATGGCATACTCCACTTTGAAATTCTGTGGGAAGCATGGAGGAAGATTGAGAGAGAGAGAAAGAGAGAGATAGAAGGCTGAGCATACTGTTCTCTGGGTTCTTGATTCTTTGGCAGTCCCTGAGGCCTGCTCCTTCTGGGGTTCTTGTACATCTTTCCCTCAGTCTCTTGGTCTCCGTTGAATTGTCCTTCTCCTTTTATGACTCAAACTAACCTTAATCATCAGTGTTAAAATTATTTCATTTGTTCTGTATTCATTTTCCCTTGGTCTTTACTTTTCACTTTCCTGGGATTGTAGTATTTGACTTGTCCTTTCAGTTTCTCAGGAAAACCTCCTTACGGGATGAGTCATAAAAGAACATTTCACACAATCATCTTAAACATCACTCCCTCTTTCTTTACCAGTTTCCCAAGACTGAACTGGAAACTATACTTTGATTCTCTACCAGCCTGTGACAGGTGCCCTCTCAATCTAGGAAAGCCTTCAGAAAATTATAGGATATCACTTTTCCTTGTGAGTGTTGATAATATTTTCCTAACTATCCTAAATATAAGCCTATTGGGACTGGCACATGCTGGAATCCTCAATGGCCCGACCTTCTCCAAAAGTCCTTATATCTTAGAATTCCCAACAGAATAGACAGAAGAAGCCCACATCAGGGTCCCTTGCTATATGTCAAAGAAAATTTCCATCTGTTTCATTTGGCAAGTGGTAACTTCCAGATGGCTTCATTTAAACCTGCCATTCCTCTCTCCTCCATTTAAGTCTCAATGGATACCATATGCCTGTCTGCAAATGAAGATTCTGAGAGGTAGCAATTTTCTTGCCCAAATCATTTTCTGCCTCTAGACCTAAGATTTTTCACCTGTGAAATTAGGAGGTTGGACTAGATATTCTCTATGGATTCACTGTATTTCATAATTCTATGAATTTCTCTCTATGAAAGAGAACAGCTGAGAGAAATAATTCACATACTCTACTTTTAAGGAACAGAAAAAATTAAATTATGTTTATTAAAAATATCATAGTTTATATATCAGTAATCACTTATAATTTTCAGATCTTAAAGTAAAAAAAAGTTTTATCTAGTGACAATAGTAGCATAGTATGGAGAAAGCAGTAGGGAGTTCTAGTCTTACAGATTTGGATTTAATATACAGTTCCATTATTTACTTTCTGTAAAACTGAGCATAGTACTCCATCTCCCTTGCTTTACACATCTGTAAGATAGGACAAATGATACTGAGCTTATAGGATATTTTGACAATTCATGAGATAACATGTATAAAGCACCTAATAGAGTACATAATGAATATTAATACAGATTATAATGATTGCAATAATATTAATATTGCTTAGAGTTTATGCAAATTTCAGATACCATTAATTTTTTAAGACCACACAGCATAGCTCAGCTGTGCAAATGCTTGCACTGTATTATTCATAAAGGTCATTTGATGTTGCACAATGGCTAGAGAGAGAGCTGACCTCCCTAAAAACATTTTCTATATCTCTCCTTCCATGTTTATCCTCATATTCAGAAAAAGGAAATGAAGGCATTGGAAAGTTAAAGATAAAATAATATATATATTTTCTTTTATCAGTTTCCATATGCAGCATTCTTTCAAAATTAAAGTAAGAGTCAGCATTTCAACATATGTGTTTGATTTCTAATGACCTCCTGGCAGAAATAATGTTCCCTTTTCATGAAGAAAATGTCCATCCTGACAAGATTATGCTTATCCCTCTAGATTAGTTTTACATTAACTCCTTGTGGCTTCAAATAAAATAAGATTTTAATGATGAGGTCTGCATTAAAAATTTACTACTCTGATGATTTTCATGAACTGGTGGGAAGCAAAATATTCACCCTTTTCAATATTACATTGGCAGATTATTATTTATTTCATGATCAATGAAACTATTAGGAGTCATTGGTTGATTTTTTTTGGAAGAACTGTTTTTGTTGAGGTCCACTTAGTAAAACAGAAACCACTCTAGCTTTCATAAGCAGAAGGAATTGGTTTCACTAATTGGTTACTAGGTGATGAAAGAATTTTAAAAAATTAGGGGACAGTGAGGACATCCATAGATTAACAACAGCAGGAAGCCACTACTACTCCTAGGGCTGGAGCACCATTGGGAATAAGAGGATCCCAGGAGGCAGACCCAACCATGGAGCCAGAGCCACAGGTTGCCATGAGGGAGGTAGAACCCCAGAGGAAATTCCACTGCTGCTAGAGATGTCACCACTTTAACTCCCATTCTAAAACGCCCTCCAGTGTCTTCACTCGCCAAACCTACAAGAGTACAGTTTTCTGAAAAAAAAAGGGTACAGTAAAGAAAGATCTGGGAATGCACCTGAGAATAAAAAAGAGATATGGTTGATGAGCCCAAGTTAAGCTAAAGTTGTAAGTTCCTGGAGAACAAAGACTGTATCTAGTTTCTGAGTATACGCTCACCATTAACTCATCACCATGTGCAAGGATATGTTTAACATTTATTAACCAAGAGAATGAATGTGTAAGTTATTTGTATCAGACAACTTGCAGGCACTAGTCAGATCTGCTCAACCACTTGTTTCTTTATTCCCTAGCTACCTGTTTTATCTCAACTCCCATAGCAACTGACATTAGTAGGTAGAAGCCAACAATATATCTTGTCTTATATCTCCCATTCCAGAGGAATTCATTCAAAGCCTACATATGCACAACCTACGGATTAATGCTTCATGGGAGATTGCAACTGGCAGATAAATGTCTCTCTTTCTCCTACTAATGGAGTACCTTTAATTGCTGTTGTTCAAAAACCCTCCCAGAAAAAATGATCCCATGACATCAAGCAATCAGTAGCCTTAGATACCAAAAGGTGATGTTCTTGGTAACATGGCCTCCTAATTGTGCTCCCTCCTTTCTTGCCTCCTTCCCTCTTTCTCTCTCCTAATTGTGCTCCCTCTTTTCTTGCCTCCTTCCCTCTTTCCCTCTCTCCTGCTTTCGAGGAATGGCACTCCCTCATAAGTAGCAGACCCTACACTGTTGGGGAAATTCAGGATGAGGCACTGGTAAAATTGAGAAGTCTGGAATCAAGAGTATGGGTTCAAGTGTGAACATTACCTTGAACTAGCCATTTGACCTTTAGCAAATCTGTTAGCCACTCAATACCTAAATGTTATTTATAATTTCTTTCTTTGTTTCCTTCTTTTTCTTTGTTTCCCTCTCTCTCCCTCCCTCCCTCCTTCTCTTCCCTTCCTTTCCCTTTCTTGCCTTCCTTCCCTTCCCTTCCTTTCCCTTCCTTTCTTTCCTTCATTCCCTTCCTTTCCCTTCCTTTCTTTCCTTCCTTCCCTTCCCTTTATTCTTTTCCTTCCTTTCCCTTCCTTCCTTTCCCTTCCTTCCTTTCCTTCCTTTCCCTTCCTTCCTTTTCTTCCTTCCCTCCCCCTCCCTCTCCTCCCTCCCCTCCCTCCTCCTCCCTCCTCCTCCTTCCTCCTTCTCCTTCCTTCCTTCCTTTTCTCTCTCTTTCTCCCCCTCTCTCTTTATTTCATTCTTTCAATAGAGTGTCTCATTCTGTTGCCCAGGCTGGAGTGCAGTGGCACAATCGTGGCTCACTGCAACTTCAAACTCCTGGGCTTAAGCAATCCTCCCACCTCAGCCTCCCAAGTAGCTAGGATTAAAGGCATGCACCACCACTCTCAGCTAATTATTTTAAATTACTTTTGTAGACACGGGGTCTTGCTATGTTTCCTGGGCTGGTCTCAAACTCCTGGCCTCATGCCTAGGCCTCCCAAAACACTGGGATTGCAGGCATGAGCCACTGTGCCTGGCCAAAGGTTATTTGTGAATATTTTTTGAACAGGGGCTCTGAGCCAATATGGTGCTTGGTTCTAAGACACAAATTTAAAAAGAATGTGATCTTGGCTCTCAAGGACTTTACATATTAAGGAATGACAGATATGTAAATGAATAATAATGTCCTCATCTGTAAGGTAAGAATGTCCTCTATAATTCAACAAGTCAGAAATTCAAAATTCAAACTTGGGATATTACATAAGTGTCTCAAATTGTTACCCTTAAAGATCTGATATTTCCATTCTGAGCTGAACAGTGTCATTATACAGACTAGCTTGAATTCTGAATAATGGTTGCCCCCAAGTATATTACCTTTATAATATTCAAAAATAAGAATATTCAAGGCTATATCTAAAACAACTACACTTGGCAATTTATCCTACAAAATAATCAGAGATGTGCAAAGATGTATGGACATGGATGCTTATAACAGTACATTATGTAAATAAAATATTAGAAACAACATAAATGTCCAATATAGGCTAAATAAACTATGAAGCATTCTTATGATATTAGTCTCTAAAATTAATATGGATGTTTATTTTTGACATAAAATATTGGAGAGATTTTTAAATGGGAAAAATTTATATTTTAAACTAGTAGGTAAAATATACTATCTCTTTAAAAAATTACATATATACATACAAATCTAGAAGAAAACGTTAACTTTAGCTGCCCCTGGATGGTGGTTTATTGATATATTCTAATTTTTCTCCTACATAGATATATTTTATAGCTTAATGGCATAACAAAACTTAAATAAAGAAATCAAAGTAATCTAACAATAAGTTTTCCCAGTCAGGCACCACTACAAGGAAAGTGACAATTTATTTCTGTACCACACGCTTTCCTCTGTTAATCTACTTTAAAATTCTACATATATGTGTGTGTATATATATATATGTATGTATGTGTGTATGTATGTGTGTGTATGTATATATATATATACACACATATATATAAATATATACATATATATACATATATATATATACACACTTACATTTAATGGTAAACGTATGTCACAGTGGTTTGCTGAGCCTATCAACCTATCACCTATGTATTAAGCTCCACGTGGATTTGCTATTTATCCTGATGCTCTTCCTACCCCTGCTGCCCACCCTGCCCCAACAGGCCCCAGTGTGTGTTGTTCCCCTCCCTATGTCCATGTGTTCTCATTGTTCAGCTCCCACTTATAAGTGAGAACATGTGTTGTTGGTTTTCTCTTCCTGCATTAGTTTGCTGAGGATAATGGTGTCAAGCTCTATCCATGTCCCTGCAAAGGATATGATCTTATTCCTTTTTATGGCTGCATAGTATTCCATTGTATATATGTACTACATTTTCTTTATCCAGTCTATCATTGATGGCATTTGAGTTGATTCCATGTCTTTGCTATTGTGAATAGTGCTGCAGTGAACATACGTGTGCATGTACCTTTATAACAGAATGATTTATATTCCTTTGGGTATATACCCAATAATGAGATTGCTGGGTCAAATGGTATTTCTCATTCTAAGTCTCTGAGGAATCGCCACACTGTCTTCCACAATGGTTGAACTAATTTACATTCCCACCAACAGTGTAAAAGCATTCCTATTTCTCAACAGCCTCACCAGCATCTGTTGTTTCTTGACTTTTTAATGATTGCCATTCTGATTGGTATGACATTGTATCTCAATGTAGTTTTGATTTACCTTTCTCCAATGATCAGTGATGTTGATCTTTTTTTTATGCTTGTTAGCCACATAAATGTCCTCTTTTGAGAAGTGTCTGTTCATGTCTTTTTTTTTACTGTTTCATGGAGTTTTTTTTTCTTGTAAATTTGTTTAAGTTCCTTGTAGATTCTGGATATTAGACCATTGTCACATGGAAAGACTGCAAAAATTTTCTCCCATTTTATAGGTTGTCTGTTCACTTCTGCTGTTCAGAAGCTCTTTAGTTTAAATCTCATTTAACTCATTTAAATCTCCTTTTAACTTTAGTTTAAATCTCTTTAGTTTAGGTCTCATTTGTCAATTTTTGCTTTTATTGCAATTGCTTTTGACGTTTTTGTCATGAAATCTTGCCTGAGCCTTTGTCCTGAATGGTATTGTCTAGGTTTTCTTTTAGGGTTTTTATAGTTTTGGGTTTTACACTTAAGTCTTTAATCCATCTTGAGTTAATTTTTGTATAAGGTGTAAGGAAGGGGTTCAGTTTCAATTTTCTGCATATGGCTAGCCAGTTTTCCCAGCACCATTTATTAAATAGGGAATCCTTTCCCCATTGCTTGTTTTTCTCAGGCTTGTAAAAGATCAGATGATTGCAGATTTGTGGTCTTATTTCTGAGATCTCTATTCTGTTCCATTGGTCTGTGTGTCTGTTTTGTACCAGTATCATGCTGTTTTGGTTACTGTAGACTTGTAGTATACTTTGAAGTCAGGTAGCGTGATGCCTCCAGGTTTGTTCTTTCGCTTAGGATTGTCTTGGCTATTTGGGCTATTTTTGGTTCCCCATGAATTTTAAAGTAGTTTTTTCTAATTCTATGAAGAACATTAATGGTAGATTAATGGGAATGGCATTGAATCTATAAATTACATTGGGCAGGATGGCCATTTTCACGATGTTGGTTCTTCCTATCCATGAGCATGGAATATTTTCCCGTTTATTTGTGTCCTCTCTAATTTTCTTTAGCAGTGACATATAGTTCTCCTTGAAGAGGTCCTTCACTTCTCTTGTTAGCTGTATTCCTAGGAAAATACTAGTAATATTAAGAATTTTATCCACATTAAAAAAATTAATAAAGAAAAGAAAAATTTCCCTCAGTATTACTTCACATTAAATGCAACTTTTATGAAGGATGTTTAGAGTTTAACAATTTTGATGTCCCTTGGAGCTCATTAAATTGGGATTCACTCTGAAGAATAAATTAACTTTCAGTGAATCATAACATGGGGTAGAAGGGAACAAAATGGTACAGTATTGAGGACACATTTTGAAGTCTGAGAGTCATAGATTTAAATCCTAGCTTTTCACCTACCAGTTGTGTGGATTGCACTTTCTTCAGATGAAAAGTAGAAATATTAAGACCCAATAAACAATTGTGAAGCTGAATGGGGATAACCTGAGAAAGGCCTGGCACACGGCCTAGTGCAGAATTTCTATCGATAAAAGTTAGTTCTTTTCCCATTTTCACCACCCCAAAGTCTATAAAGAAATAACTAGGAGTGAAAGGGAATTATAGATTATACATCTGAATCTATCCTACTTTCCTAGTTTCCTGGATTTTTTTTTAACATTTTGACATATAAGAGAAATAAAAGGAGGTATTAAAAAAGAAGAAACTAAAATACAAGTGGAAAGCTGAAATGTCTCTATAACCACAAATATTGCAATTATCCAAATTTATTTCTGAGTAGTTCAAATTTAAAACAAATCTTTGTTTTAGTTTTTACAAATTGGAACAGATTATTCATCTATTTTTCATTTAGGGAAGGAAAAATGTTATCTTTCATAAGAGCAGTTTTACTGTGATGTACTTTTCTATGTCAGAAAATTCATTTTTAGAATTTTCATATTGCAGCTAAAGTGTGCAGTTAAATGATTCTCAATCCACTATAATGCATCAAATTCTAGGAAAATGAATCTCTTAAGTGTAAAAATTAAATATCTTTCCTGTCATGTTCATACCATTAAGCTATGCGGTACATTAAAAAAACAAAAAAAGGGAAAAAAAAAGAAATCTACCTTTTTCAATAAAAGTTCAAAATGCCCCAGAGAAATAAATTGTTCTTATCATAATTTCTTATGTAAATGGACCATTTATACAGAGAAACATAAGCAATTTGGTGAGCATTGGAATAGATATTGATAAGAATATAGATACAGACACATCCTAAATGATACAGATACATCCTAAATGTGCTATTTCAGGAAGTCTTAAAGAATATTTTCCTCTCCATACAGCCAATGTGACTCTATTCTGGATTTTCACATTTCATCTGCAGTAGGCTGTGTGCCAGGCCTTTCTCAGGTTATCCCTATTCAGCTTCACAATTGTATTGGGTCTTAATATTTCTACTTTTCATCTGAAGAAAGTGCAAGTCCACTTTCATTTTCACTTTGGTACCTTCCTTAAAGTGACAAAACAGCTTTTTCTTCTGGCATAGAACCATATCCACAGGGAAATTTTAACCTCTCATTGAAGTGGCAATGAATATATAGAGAGCTAAGGAGACAGGTAGTGACAAGAGGTAGCAATAAGGACAAAAGAAAAACAAAAGTTAGAACAGTCTTGCATTGGTCCACCCTACTCCTTTCCAAAAGCATGAAACATCTAATGAAAGGGCAATGTGGCCCATTGTCTTACTCTGGGAGTCACAGGGAACTGAAACGGGGCCAGTAAATAGCAACAGGACACTGACTGGTATGCAGTTCCAGTCTTGTAACTTATTTACATCCCAAGATCCTTATGGAGAGGGCTCTGAGGAGAACAGTATTACTAGGCTGAGAGAAACAGGATTGGGTATGGTATTAGGTCATGATCCCTTGGGGTGCCAGGTATATATTTTTTTCTTGGCATTTAGGAGAGTCACACCTTTTTTTTTTTTTTTTTTTTTTTGAGACGGAGTCTTGCTTTGTTGCCCAGGCTGGAGTGCAGTGGTGCCATCTTGGCTCACTGCAAGCTCCGCCTCCCAGGTTCACGCCATTCTCCTGCCTCAGCCTCCCGAGTAGCTGGGACTACAGGGGCCCACCATCACTCCCAGCTAATTTTTTGTATTCTTAGTAGAGATGGGGTTTCACCATATTAGCCAGGATGGTTTCGATCTCCTGACCTCGTGATCCGCCCGTCTCGGCCTCCCAAAGTGCTGGGATTACAGGCGTGAGCCACTGCACCTGGCCGAGAATCACACATTTTTAAAGTGGATTTCATATTTCCTGATTTTTCCTGTGTAAGGATTGTTTTGGAATGACCAAGCTTCTAAGCATCAATCCTATCTCCATTCTCAATTAGAAGTTTCAAAGCACCTTGGAAAATAAGTTCAACTGTTTAAACTTCTGTGAGAGCACAAGGTCATGAAAATCATGAAAATAACACTGTAAAAGAGTTAAACCACTCTCACTTCTCCAGCAGACCAGCATTTTGTGTTTTCCGACCTGGAGAAAACCAAAAGCAAGCAAGAGAGGGCAGAAAAGAGACTGAAAGCCTTGGCTCCCAGGCACAATTACACATCACACAAAGGAAGCTGTTGAGCAAAGGAGGGTTGAAGGGTCGAAGAGTAGTGTGCAGGAATATGAATCAGAATATTGATGAAACAACATCTTATGATTATGTCTGCAGAGAGGCATGGCAAAGCCAGTTCAGCTCCAGAAAAACACACAAAAGGAGTGCGTTTTCACAGGTAAGTGAGGGTTTAGCTCTGAGGAGGTGCACATCAGCTTTATAAACAGCAAGTATAGTGACCCTACTGGGTCACTCAGAGAAATCATCTGAAAACAAGGCAAGGCAGGGTGGGCTTGGAGGTCTGGATTTGACACTGACAGGATGAAAACAACACAATCATTATCCCTCGTCTCTCCGAAGTAAAGGGCAGGGCACCCTCCACTAGCTGAAGTAATAGGCAGCATACCCCTTTGTCAGCTGAGTAGAGGGAGGGCACCCGTTGGCTGGCTGAAGTAAAGGTCAGGGTTTCACCCCAGGTTCCAGTGTCCTGAGGGAAATGGAAAAAGCTCAAGGGACACAAGTTGAAGGGAGCAGGATAGCCAAGTCCCTGCCTCTTCATAAAAGGCCAGCTACAGTCTTGGTTAGGGGTATATTAGTCTGTTCTCATGCTGCTAATAAAGGCATACTTGAGACTGGGTAATTTATAAAGGAAAGAGGTTTAATGGACTTACAGTTCCACATGGCTGGGGAGGCCTCACAATCATGATGGGAAGCAAAGAGAAGCAAAGGCACATCTTACATGGCAGCAAGCAAGAGAGTGTGTGCAGGGGAACTCCCCTTTATAAAACTATCAGAACCTGTAAGACTTATTCACTATCACAAGAACAGCAGAGGAAAGACCTGCCCTATGATTCAATTACCTCCCACCAGCTTCCTCTCATGACATGTGGAAATTATGGGAGCTACAATTCAAGATGAGGTTTGGGTTGGGATACAGCCAAACCATATCACTTAGGGGTCTCTGACAGTCATTCCATTGCATGCTTTCCCTTTTCTTTAGATTCCTCCTTTTCTTTAGAAAAGCTACTCTATGCTCTCTTCTGTTGCTCAGTATTTTAAATTTCTTACTTCACCCCTTTGGCTCCTGTTTTCTATTCCTGGAGCTCCATGCTTTTTAGAAACTCTGCCTTCACCTGGCACTGTGTCACATACAGATTCCACCCTCCAGCACAATGGGCAAGAGGCTCTCTAGCATCCTTCTGGGCTCTGGTCCTCAAGATTGACTCAGTTCTCCATCAGTTATACCTAACCATCCCCCCTTAATTTCCTTCTAGAAGTAACATGGACCAGTGGGCAGTCTTTTGACAATAACTTTCAAGTGTTTGTGCTTTAAGCCTTTGAATAGGAATGACCAAGATTAATTTCAAGGCTCTATTGATTTGTGGGGTTAAAGAAGCCTCCTAGAGATCTCTCAAATCTGTTCTATAGTCTCCTTTCCCATTATGTAGTTCAAGCTCTATCATATCTGACCTTTATTGATCCAACAGCTTCCATCTCTTCTTCCTTTCTCCAGTTTCCCACAAGACTTCCACAAATCTATTTTACACAGTATGATGAGATAATTTTCCTGAGATAAAACCTGACTACATCATCATTCAGCCAAAATTTCATCATTAACTTCCCTTGCTCTTAGGATGCAATGGAGTACCTTAATAACACCTTCCAATCCCTGCATGACTCCCTATTTCTTCAGCAACTTCTCTCTCTGTTCCTTATGGTGATAAGCTCCAACCACAGCAAGCCACTGTCAGTGATCTGGACACATCTAGAACTCTCTCACTTCTATGTCTTTATATATGCCAGAAATTTCCTCTTCAACCTTGTTCTAACTTTAGCTGGTTAACTTCTACCCATCCTCTTGGCTTTAGCTACCTCCAGGAAGCCACGTCTGCTCCCACAAAATTAGGTCACATGGCTCTTCCTAGCTGCCACAGCATTTTGCTTTAAGCTCTCTTATGATAATTAATGGCATTATATGTTGATCAGCCACTTATTTTCCTGAATTCCCATTAAACTCTAAGCTCCACAAGGGCAGGGATCACTTCTGTCTAGCATAGAGTCTGGCATGAAACCTACAATTAATACATTTTGGTGGAAGAAACAAAGAATGGAGGAAAAGGAGATAGACTGCCTGGCTGTGTTAATTATACTCCTGGAAGTGACTGGGTTACTTATAAATAATTTCCTTCTCATGAAGAACAGGTTGGTGCACTGCAGGTCAAGACTGACACACAGTGGATACACACCCAAGTCAAACTGTGCCTCCTTCACAATGCTGCCCAGGGCAAGCCCTTTACAACATCAAAGTGGGCAAGCCCCGTTACATGTCTGCCTTCACCCAGATGGAGGGTACACAGTAAACACAACATCACCTAAATGTTATTGCTCTGGTTGTTTAGATATCTGAGGGGAAAAAAGGAGTGAGGCCACAGTAGGAAGGTGTCATCTAAGATATGTGCTCATCTGCTTTCTAGGATTTATCTGACACATGATGAATTCTGACACCTGTAACACAATGTTAAGAATATGCTTTTGAATGTGAAATATATGTGCCTTGGAGATTTCAGTTTCTACCACAGAAGCTAATTTAGGGAAATGCACAGATAAGAATAGATAAGAATTCAGGTGCTCAGGTGAATTCCTCACTCTACATTCAAACTACAGAGAGAGAATTCAGAAAACAGTTCCCAGTTCATTGATTGCAGTGTGATGGGCTCTGAAAAGCCACTTGAGAAACTGAAGAGAGAATAAAAAAGTTACCCATACTCTCTTGCTCATAGAGTGAATGTCATTTGAGCATAAGCACCATACACTCAGTGATGATGCTTGGAAATTTTGCATTCAAAGTTAGGAATACAAGTGAGATTCATGTATTCAACATTCAACAAATATTTATTAAGTACCTACCATATGGTGAGTATTGTTCTAGGCACTAAGGATATAGCAATGAAAATGTTTGTTAAAATACTCATTCCTGTGGAGCTTAAATCCCAGTACAGTATCTAGTATATCAGATGGATATAAGTGATATAGAGAAAAATAAGGCATAAAGGAGGATATACAATACTGGGAAGAAAGGAGGTTGCAGTCTAACAAAAAGTAGTCTGAGAAGGTGTCTGAGTCTATTTGGGTGGCTATAAAAAACAACATAGACTTATGCAACAAACAGTTGCTAGAGCCTGGGAAGTCCAAGATGAAGGCACTGACATATTCACTGTCTGATGCGAATTTGCTTCCTGGTTTGTAGACTGCACCTTCTCAGTGTGTCCTCACATGGTAGGAAAGGCACAAGAGAGCTCTCTTGGGTCTCTTTATAAGGACACTAATCACATTCATGAGGGCTCCACCCTTATGACCTAATCCCTTCCGAAAGGCCTTACCTCTAGATATCATCATATTGTAGGTGAGAATTTTGAAATATGAATTTTGGGGGAATAAAATGCAAACATTCAGTTCATACCAGAAGACCTCACTGAGAAAGTGATGTTTGTCTTTTACCATTTCAGTTGCTATTTGTTCAAACATTTTTTTGCACCATTCATCGTCTTCTCTATTTCTGAGACTGCAATTGCACATATGTTGTATATTTTAAAAATCATTTCCTCTCTGTTCTTCAGATTAAATCACTTCAATTATATTTTTCTTAAGTTCTTTGACACATCTGCCATTTTTCACTATTCTGTGAAGTACATCCAGTTAATGTTTAAAATTTCAGAGAGTGTATTTTTGCATTCTGGAATTATAGTTTTAGTGCATGTGTTTTAAAAAGTAATTTCTGGGTATAGAACAAAGCTGGAGGCATCAGACTACCTGACTTCAAACTACACTACAAGGCTACAGTAACCAAAACAGCATGGTACTGGTACCAAAACAGAGATATAGACCAAGGGAACAAAACAGAGCCCTCAGAAATAATGCCACATATCTACAAGTATCTGATCTTTGACAAACCTGACAAAAACAAGCCATAGGGAAAGGATTCCCTTTTTAATAAATGGTGCTGGGAAAACTGGCTAGCCATATGTAGAAAGCTGAAACTGGATCCCTTCCTTACACCTTATTCAAAAATTAATTCAAGATGGATTAAAGACTTACATGTTAGACCTAAAACCATAAAAACCCTAGAAGAAAACCTAGGTAATACCATTCAGGACATAGGCACGGGCAAGGACTTCATGTCTAAAATACCAAAAGCAATGGCAACAAAAGCCAAAACTGACAAATGGGATCTAATTAAACTAAAGAGCTTCTGCACAGCAAAAGAAACTACCATCAGAGTGAACAGGCAACCTACAGATTGGGAGAAAATTTTTGCAACCTACTTATCTGACAAAGGGCTAATATACAGAATCTACAATGAACTCAAACAAATTTACAAGAAAAAAACAAAAAATCCCATCAAAAAATGGGCAAAGGATCTGAACAGACATTTCTCAAAAGAAGACATTTACGCAGCCAAACAACACATGAAAAAATGCTCATCATCACTGGCCATCAGAGAAATGCAAATCAAAACCACAATGAGATACCATCTCACACCAGTTAGAATGGTGATCATTAAAAAGTCAGGAAACAACAGGTGCTGGAGAGGATGTGGAGAAATAGGAACACTTTTACACTGTTGGTGGGACTGTAAACTAGTTCAACTATTGTGGAAGTCAGTGTGGCGATTCCTCAGGGATCTAGAACTAGAAATACCATTTGATCTAGCCATCCCATTACTGGGTATATACCCAAAGGACTATAAATCATGCTGCTATAAAGACACATGCACACCTATGTTTATTGCGGCACTATTCACAATAGCAAAGACTTGGAACCAACGCAAATGTCCAACAATGATAGACTGGATTAAGAAAATGTGGCACATATACACCATGGAATACTATGCGGCCATAAAAAATGATGAGTTCATGTCCTTTGTAGGGACATGGATGAAGCTGGAAACCATCATTCTCAGCAAACTATCACAAGGACAAAAAAACAAACACTGCATGTTCTCACTCATAGGTGGGAATTGAACAATGAGAGCACATGGACACAGGAAGGGGAACATCACACACCGGGGCCTGTTGTGGGGTAGGGGGAGGGGGGAGGGATAGCATTAGGAGATATACCTAATGCTAAATGACGAGTTAATGGGTGCAGCACACCAACATAGCACATGTATACATATGTAATGAACCTGCACGTTGTGCACATGTACCCTAAACTTAAAGTATAATAATAATAAAATTTTTTAAAAAAGTAATTTCTGGGTATATACCCAAAGGATTATAAATCATTCTGCTGTAAAGACACATGCACAGGTATGTTTATTGTGGCACTATTCACAATAGCAAAGACTTGGAACCAATCCAAATGTCCATCAAGAAGACTGAATAAAGAAAATGTGGCACATATACACCATGGAATACTATGCATCCCTAAAAAAGGATGAGTTCATGTCCTTTGCAGGGACATGGATGAAGTTGGAAACCATCATTTTAAGCAAACTATCACAAGAACAGAAAACCAAACACCACATGTTCTCACTCATAAGTGGGAGTTGAACAAGGAGAACACATGAATACAGGGAGGGGAACGTCACACACTGGGGCTTGTCAGGGGGTAGCGGGGGTTAGGGGAGGAAAAGCATTAGGAGAAATACCTAATGTAGGTGATGAGTTGATGGGTGCAGCAAACCACCATGGCACGTGCCAACCTATGTAACAAACCTGCACGTTCTGCATATGTAACCCGGAACTTAAAGTATAATAAAAAATATATATTATATTGTAGAATAAAGCAAACAATTGTGCCAAAAAAGTAATTTCTATTTATCTGATGATATTTTCTGTTTTTTTATTCATCATGTTCATATTTTTTCCAACTTTGAGAATACTTAAAATTGCTGATTTAAAACTCTTGTCCACAAATTTCAACATCTGGGTTATCTTGGTGTCAGCCCCATTAATTGTGTTTCCATTTCAGAATAAGTCACATTTTCCCGTTTCTTCATATATCCAATAATTTTGGATTACAACCTGGACATTAGGAATGATATATTGTAGAGATTCTGAAATGTTGCTGCCAAGAATATTGATTTGTTTTTAAGCAGGAAGTTCACTGGGGCTGTAAGCAAATTTAAGTTCTGTCTCCACTGCAACTCAAATCTCAATGTATTTCTTTTAGGCTTAGCTGGGCTGCTTGGAAGCTGCCCCCTGCTTCCATGTTTCAGGGCCTGTTAAGAGATGTTGACAAAGTTTATTCACAGGATTTTGACATTTTCTTTGCTGGTTCTATTGCTGCTGCTACTGTTGCTGTTGCCATTGTTATTGTTGTTTTCCTGGGATTCCTCAGATGACTGTAATTGCTCCAAAATGGCAAGACCATGGGCTTTATATCAGAGTATTAGTTGCCGTATTCAGAGCAGACTGGAGCCTGCTCTCAGATTAAAACTTCTGAAAACTAGAAATTCACTCTGTGCTTTTTTCTACCAAATGTTGACTCCATCCAGTATCTACCTGCTTTTGATCACTTTCCAGTGCCTTCAGGGAGCATGTGTATCTACACATTCATTGTTGTATTTATTACCTACAGTAGAATTGGTCTGAAAGGAAAGACTTGATTATGGTTAGAAGCTGAACCATTGAGAAAGTATTAAACAAAGACCTAATAGAAGAATGGGAGCTAGCCATACCTGTGTGGAATGCATTCCAGGACTCCATGTGCAAAGCCCTGAAGTGGAGCATGGCTTGTGTGTTTCAGGAATGGCAAGGAGGTCAGTGTGGTTACAGTAGAGGAAAAGAGAGGTAAGAGATGAGATGAGGGCAGAGAGGTAACAGAGAATCAGGTTGTGTCAGACCACTGAGCCACTTTAAGGACTTGGAGTTTACTTTGATGGAGGAAGTCACTGGAGGGTTTTGAACAGAGGAGTGACATGATTTAGCTTGTGTTTTAAAATGCGCAATCTGGCTCTATATTGAGACTATGGGGGGCAAAGTACGGAAACAAGGATACTACTTAGGAGACTCTTCAGAAATCCAGGTGAAGTAGCTTTGGCTTGAACTAGGCTGGCAATACTGGAGATGGTGAGAAAGTGATCTGCATGTATTTGAGGTCAGAGTATAAATAATTTGCTAAGAGTTTGGATTTGGAGTGTGAAGCAGAAGGAGGCATCATGGGTGATTCCAAGGTTTTCAGCTTGAGAAACTAGAAGGAAGGAGTAGAGAAAATCAGTAAGGTTTCAGACATTTAGGTTTGATGTGCCTGATGGGCATCACGGTGGGAATATCAAGGAGGAAATTGGATTTGAGACTGGAGTTCAGGGGAGAGGTCAAGGCTGCCAGTGTACAATAGTAAATTGTGTATAGAATTGTATTTACAGCCAGGAGAAGACACAAAATCACTAAGCAACTGGTCTAACCAGAGAAGAGAAGACTTCCAAGGATATAGCTCTGAGGATGGTGTGATTAGAGGTCACAGAAAAGAAACCAGTAAAGAAACCCAGAAGATGTCAGTGTGGTAGGATGTGAACCAGGAAAGAATGGAGTTCTAAAACCCAAAGGAAGAAAGTGTTCTAGTGTTTCAAGAAAGTAACAGTCGGCTATGGCAATTAACACTGGGAGATCAAGTACAATGAAGATTGAGAATTGGCTCTGGGTTTGTTGATGAAGAGGTTGTAGTTGGTCCTGAAAAGAGCAGTTTTGGTGGACCAATGAAGATAAAACCCTGAATGGAACTGGAGGGAGCACATCTACCCATAATATGATTATGGCATGATTATAGAAGTCTAGCATTATCAGATGCTATAAAATAAGGGAAAAAAATCATTTGTAAGGAAGGGAAAAAACTAAGAAAGAAAAATAAATCCGTGAACTTGAGGTAAATTTCCAAAGAGCAAAGAACAGAGGCATATTTGCTGTCGTCTAGGGCTGGAGCATGCTGTACAGAGAACTGACCTCACAGTGTTTTGTAGTATCACAGCTGGCCTCTGAGAAAATTCCAAGAATCCATTGTGGGATGACCCTCAGGTTCAGAACCCAACCTGCCAGTCCTACTCACACTGGTTTCTGGGACCAGCCTCTCATAGCTGGACTCATTTGATATTCCTGTCTAACTCCTTTCCTAAGATTCCCCCCATGCCTTACTGAAACTCTTTTGTCCTGACCCTTTTCTGACTTCCAAACTTTCTTAGCTGCAAATTTTCTTAGAGGAAAATATGCCCTTTTACTCATTTGGCTTGTTTTGCTCTCGACTGACCTCTTGGGCTTGATTCTAGAGCATATGGCCCAGTCCCCACCATGTCTGGCCCTTAGATTATATTCATCCTGCTCTCAGGTCAAGTCATAGCCTGGATTCAAATATTTAAGGTATGAGGTAATTTTTAAAACCCTGGATTTGAAGTCAGAGAGATAGAGATTCAAGCCACCACTTGGCTGCTTAACTAGCTGTGTTATCAGAAGCAAGCTCTTAACCTCACTGTCAGTTCCCTTGTCTACAGAATGGAGATATTAATTATTATCCTTAGGGAACAGTAAGAATTGAATGCGGTAACACATATGTTAGGATACGGGAAAAATATCTTGTCTTTTTAGCAGCGAGTAAGAGATAGAATTACAATGTAGGAAGAAGACTGACTGTTATGTTGAGAAGATGCCTCTCAATAAGGTTATAGTCTACAGAATTTAAGCAGAAGAAAAACCCAGTACTGTTAAATAAGAGAGGGTGGGAGGTGGGGTGACAGGGTGGGCATGACAGGTCTTAAATGCTGCAGGATTTTCAAGTGCAGTGTAATTCATTTTTCCAGACAAATAAATTCACAGGCTGATTTGATTTTTCATGGAAGCTTAAGAAGGGCTAAATAGTGTTGAAACAGAGTTAGACTATGAGACCATGGAGCACACCTGGGCAGCTGTTTACATTTATGAAATTCCTAGAACCTAGTAGGCTCTTTATAAATGTTAGGTCTCCAATTCTCCCATCTTTTCACTTTACTTATTGTCCACCATCCACAGTGGCAGAAGGAGGCCTGAGTGAAGAGTGTACTAACACTGCAGGCTCTAAAATCACACCATCTGGTCACATCCCAGCTTTATTCTAATTCGTGAACTGGGGCAAGTTATTTTACAGTAATGGGTCTCAGTTTCTTCATCTGTATAATGAAAATGATAATAATAATACCTTTCTCATGCAGTATTTTTTGAGAGAGACCCTTTACCATAACCAATAAAAGATTAAATGAGGTAATACATGAGAAGCAATTAGGCAAGATTCTGGTACAGATAAAACATTCATTATTTCCAACTAATATCATTATTTCCAGCATCACACTTGCCAAAGTAGTGTGAAAAATTCACTCCGAGAAAGTCAGGTGAATCAGTCTGAGGAACAACCTGCATACAATTCATTGAATCTCAACTAATTACGGATAGACTTACTGAATAGGATATATAAATTAATAGAAATTGTATTTAACTTGGTGTTACTGTTGACATTTAAGTTGTTTTCTCAGCTTCTCTAGAAAATGAAGCTCAGTTTTCATTTCTCATGTGTTACTTTGAGAAGTACCGAGCTCTGGCTTCAAAGATGTCACTCGGTTTCATGATGTGATGCAATTTACTGAACTAAGGCAATCCAGGGTGAGTCACTGCAAAAACAATGCATCATCCAGGCAATTCTATCTTCTTAAAAAGGAGGCAGCAAGGCATAGCATTTCTTTCTGAGCTCCTCAGTTGTAGCTGATAATAAAGGCAACTTAAAAAAAAAAAACACCTGCTTCTGTCTGTATCAAATATTCTCACTCTAGTGCATACAGAATACTAACAATGTAGATTCTGATGTCAGACAGACATGGCTTTAGATTCTGTCCCTGTCACTTGCCAATTGTGTGACCTTTCACAATCTACTTAACCATTGTGCCACAGGAATGGCTGCTGTCCATCAAAGATGTATCCTTTTCTTTCATAGGGTAGAGCCTTTGAGGGGAAGCAGCTGGACAGCCAGTGACTGCATTTTCAAGCCTTTATTAAATCTAGAAAGGGCCATGTGAATGAGTTCTGGCCAAGAGAATGCGGGCAGAATTGATAAATTCCACTCCATGTCCTGGGCCCATAAAATCCCACATAATCCTCTGTGCTCTCTTCCCCAATCTTCCAGCTGGATATCAACGTCCAGGGCCACCACAACACCCTCGTGTTGAAGATGGTAGAACTTCTCTCAGCCTAGATTCCTGAGTGACTATGTGGGTCACCTCCGCACCACCACCAAAACCTTCTTTCCCTAGCATTGGGCTTTACGAGAATGATACATAAACTTCTATTAGAAGAATCCACTGAGATTTCAGAGTTAACTCTTACAGTATTTAGTATCACTTTAAATAATACACACTTCAAGCCTCTGTTTCTTCATATGTAAAACAGGAATAATAGTAGCTACCCAGAGTTGTGATAATTAAATAAGATGAGCCAGGTAAAGTACTTAGCACACTGTCTGGAACCTAAATAGTGCTAAAAAATTATTAGCTACTAAATTTACTTAAATGAACTTTTTTTTTCATTGCTTCTGAAATTGTTGTAAACAACTCCTTCATTATCAGCTACTTCTAGAATAAGCTGCTCTTAAACTGACAGTGAATCTCACAATCATGGGTTTCTTAGCATTGAAAAAAATATGGTACTAATATTTTATTAAATATTTGAATTTTTACTAAATCCTCTGTGTTCCCTTTTGCTACAATATCTTTCTGATAACAGTCAATGCCTTTTTACAGCAATGTTAACCACTGTCATCCATCCTTAAGAATAATTTTTTTTTGTGAACCAAAGAAGTAGTAAGATATACAAGTCTGCTGCAAGCAATTGACTCAGATCAACATACAGCCCTCAGCAAGTCCTCTGAGTTATTTTAAAGCGCCACACAAGAGATGCTACCTGAGATATTGCTCATCATTACCTATTAAGTGCCAACATATTCTTTAGTGCAGGACCTACCATACAGCAGGAGAGGCTGGTGAGCAACTCTTTTAGTTCCTGCCTGCTTCTGGCCCTGCACTAGCTAAATGTGGGTGTTGAAGCCCAGCCACCTGCGGCCAATGCCTCTTCATTTCAGAGCTGATGAGAACCAGCCCTAGTATTATATTATCATGGAATGTCCTCTACTCTTCACAATGTGGGTAAATGTAAGGCTAGGATTTATCTGCTGCCCTGAGCTGCATGTGCAGGAACCAGAATTTGAACATCAGGCTGTCTTCCAGGCTGACCTTCCTCAAACTCCTGCATGGGTTCTCAGACAGAACAGCTGGGTTTATGCACACTCTCTCCACTACCATCCCACTCCTATTCCTGGTTTACACCACAATTTTTTTTTTTTTAAAAGTACTCTGCCCTAGAGCATAATGATCAACATCCTCATCATGATTGTTATCCCCATAGAAAGAAAAATAACTACCTTAATGGGCATCATCTGTGTATCAGGAACTAATTGCTTCACGCCCATTATCTTTTTAAAAATTCATGACGAATCTTCAACATCAGCATTTTTATGCCCATTTTAGAAGTGTGGGAGCTGAGGCTTCAGGTTGTTAAGCAGTTCACTAATAAAGACTAGAGCCAGAATCCATATCCAGCTCCGATTTTTAAATGTGGGTGCGTGCTTTTAGCTGGCCATTTCTTACCAGGCTGAATCCCTGAATCTCTACCTATTTCTTACCAACAAGAATAGACTCTGTGCCTTTACACAGCTGATTGGCTTAGGCTCTGCATTTGTTCAAATGGGCTGCTTTACTTCCTTGTACCAAAACTGTGCAAGTACTCCAGCCTCTTTGATAGGAATTCATAAATGCTGACCAATCCCTAGGGACTCCGTGAACACCCTAGCATCCTTTGGACATGGAGTTTTGACCAGCTGACCATTTCTGGAGGAAGAAGGTAGACAATCTGACTCCATGTTGGTTCCCTAAGCCCTGGCCTCACCACTCCCAACTTATACCTCTTCTGTAGGTCCCATAGTATGACAGCTCTGCTTCACATTCTCACAAGTTTTGATAAAATGTAATGAACAAAATAGATATCTGGGATAGTATTGCTTATTATAAAGCAATTAAAGAAGTCCTAAAACAATTGCTTAAGTGTTTATTTAAGTGCCTCTCTTCAGGCTGTTGACTCCTCAAAGCAGAGATGGTATATGGAATTTTGAACTCTGTAGATAAGGACCAAAGTCTATTAATGATCATTCAAAGTGGAGCTAAATGAAAGATGTGACAAATTAATGATAAAATAATCAAATGTCCCCCACAATCCTCCTTCAGTTCTGAACAGTGGACTGACAAATCCAACACTAGCTTGAACAGTTTCTTTAAAGCATGTAAACAGATTATAAAACACCAGGTGTCACATTGCATCTGCCCAATGCGACGGGGTTGTTTTAAGGACATGTCCTGGGCTCACCTGAGTCATGGGGCCATGCAGAGATGAATATCATGGCAATCATAAGCAGCTGTGAGAGAAGCAGCACAGCAGAATGGGGAAGCCCACAGCCCCTGGAGCCAGGCATGCCATGCTCTGCCACCTTCTAGCCACGTGACCTTGGGCAGGCAACTTACCCTCACTATATGTTAGTTTCCTGGCCTGTGAGTGGTGGTTTATAATTGTATCTGCCTCAAGGCAGATTCATAAGGAATAACTAGGTGTAAATGGCTTTTGACAGAACCTAACATGCACTAAGTACTCAATAACTGTTTGCTGTTGTGAATAGTGCTGCAATGAACATACTCATGCATGTATCTTTACAATAGAATGATGTATATTCCTTTGCATATATACCCAGTAATGAGATTGCTGGATCAAATGGTATCTCTGCATCTTGGTCTTTGAGGAACCGCCACACTGTCTTCCACAATGGTTGAACTAATTTATACCTGCACCAACAATGTAAAGGTGTTCCTTTTTCTCCACAACCATGCCAGCATCTGTTGTTTATATGACTTAAAAAACAATATCCATTCTGACTGGTGTGAGATGGTATTTCATTGTGGTTTTGATTGCATTTCTCTAATGATCAGTGAGGTTGAGCTTTTTTAAGAATTTCTTCTTCTGTTTGTCATTGATTTTAAAAAGAAAATGCAAAGAATAAAAGCTAAATATAGATGGGAGGACTATTGGAAGGAAGAGTGAAGTCAAGTTTAGAATAATTTTTTTGTGTGTGTTTATATTTACTTTCTTGTGACTTGTTGAGCAACTACAGGATCTGCAGGAATAGAACACAGGTTGCTGAATGGAATGTCTCTACAAGCACTGGTTTTGATTTAAAAATATATAAAGGAAATTGTTTTCAAAAATCTATTAGCTATTACAATGAGCCTTGTTCCCACACTGGCCTTTGACAGTCCCCAACACTCTCTCTACCTGCCCTGATCAGAAACTCTCCTCATTTTTCCTGTTTGTTTTTTTAACCTACTCTGCTGCCCATTTAAAACCTACTAAAATACTCCCTCTGGGTTCTTGGCCTTGCTTCTCAGTTTACTGTTTGTGTTTTGTTTTCTTTTCTTTCTTCTTCTTCTTATTTATTCATGTTTGGTTAAGATTATCTGCTTGATAACATGTTAAAGGTGACTTGCATCACGTCAGGATCCCTCCTCCCTTCCCCTTCCAGGTAGCTGGGGTCCTAATTGTGGACAGACATACTCCAGTGTCTGGGCCAGATAGTAACTTTAATTTGCTTTAGTACTTTTCATATTCCATGTCCCTTCCCAAAGATCTATTTATTTGTGTTTCCCTCTGGTTTTCTGTGTCAGTTTGTTTCATTTATTTATTTGTATATGTCTTTCTTACTTGCTGTAGGTGCTCTAATCCAAATTCTCTTAACATTTGGTTTACATTCCCCTCTCTTTGCCCTAGGACTCCCAGAAACTTGGTCTTCTGTTAAGAGCATCCACTACCAGAGCAGCAACGAATGGTTACAGGAACTGGACAGCCACTGATCTTCAACTCCATCAGCTGATTAATGGCCTATTGAAAGACTTCCTTTGAGAGTACTTTCTTGTACTTGTCAACCCTTATGAAGTCTCTCCTATTTTCTGGCTCATGTTTATCCCCTTTGCCAACATCTGACACTCTCTCTCTAACTCATGAGGTCTCTACAAATGAACATAGCTCCCTATTAAGTTTTTGAAGTTGATAAGAGACCTAGAACTTCTCAGTAATGGAGTAAAGAAACGCATTGTTATACAAAGTCATTTTGTCTCTACCTAACAACATAAGGACTGTGCTATTGACTTGCAAAAGAAAGTCTGCCCTCATTCTCAAGCAGAAAATTGTCTCTGCATTTCCTATATAAAAGATGCTTTGTGTAATTAGAAGAAGGGATGAGAATGAATAGAAATTCAAAGTGCATTCTCTTCTTCTACATATCTTATTTTGTTCAGAGTATAAGAGAAGGACTTGGCACTTATCTTTGAAAGATGGTATGAAATTCGTCAATGAATTTTGAATATTCATTCATCAAGGATTCCATGTCTGAATGAACAACCTAGTTAAGATTTTATTCATGCATATTGAATGCAGGCTAAAGAAGCCCAATTCACAGCTGTCACAGTTTATACCTCACTTACATCTTTCCTCTTCACCCTATGACACAATGCAGGACCTCCCCACACCATCACAAAAGAATAAATCCAAGATGTCTAAAGATAAAAAGTTATGTTTTTAATAGTTTTAAAATGTGAAATGTTGGGTGCAGTTAATTTTTAAAATGTGTTTTTTTTTATTTTCTTGTATTGCAGGCTAAGAGTGACAATCTAAGTCTCTGGAATTTCCACTTGATCTTGGCCAGAAATTCCTTACAATTAAATAAGAAAATTTGTGGAATCATCTGGCATAGTTTTTGGCACAGAATAAGTGTTCAGTAAATGTTGTGTCTAAATCTGACATTCTCCTCGTCTGACCAAATAATAGAGGGATAGATTAGCCATTGTCTCCTCCTTTCCCCTCATTCTCTAAGACTTTATTAGCAGAGCTCCCAGGCCCATCCCATTCCATTGAGATGAGAGCTTTCAAAATGGTCTGGAAGCAGTGGCAGTAGACACAATTTCAAAGCCAAGGAAAGACAGGTGAGTCAAGAACTAGAACTGGGCATGCTGCCCACATAGACGAAACAGGTACTTAAGTGGGAGATTCAGAAATCAAATAAGGCAACAGGGCATATCTGTATGACCTTTCAACATTCTTTTCAGTTCTGAGATCTGTGATTCCTTGATCCTTAACATACAAAGGAGGAAAAGGCCATTAACTGTTCATGGCAAATTTTAGTTTCCCACATCCTTATACTGGCAGATCCTTTAATCATTCACAAAGCAAAACCATAGCTGCAACTTCCTGAAATCATAATAGATTTCTCTTATCTACAGTATCCTGAAAATTTCACAGTCTGCTACCCCAACTATTTAATCTTCCAGCAACTTCCAGTTGCCCAGATGCCAAGACCTATCTTGAAACAGAGGAGAGAGAACTGGAATTGATGAATTTATAAAGCAGATACATGGAATCCTGCCCAGACAATGTCATGGAAAATGCTCTGTCATTGACTCTCAAATTCTGTAGTTAAAACAAGCTCCTTCCTCTAAACAGAATGTTCTACAATTACCACCTTGTACACAGTAGGTGCTCAATAAACAATGATTCCTATCTGTTTTTTTTTATTAACGATATATTAGTCTTTATTTAATTTTTACTTTGTGGAGTTGATTATAATTGGTTGCAAAATATTTTCATCTCTATACTAATGTCCCTTTGCAATGTGACATTGCCATTCTTCTCATAAAGAAGTGGAATCTAGTTCTCTACCCCCTAAATCTAACCTCAGCTATGTCATTTGCTTTGGTCAAGGGGATGTTGGAAAACATGACATGGGTGGAGGCAAGAAAAATGGATGCTCAATGTCACTTATCCTCTTTTGCTGCTCTGAAACCACCTCCGAAGAAGCTCAAGCTAGTCTCCCAGAGAATGAGAGAATTAATGAAGCAGAAACAAGTTGCCCCAGTTGAGACCCAATAGCCCACCAGCCTGATGACTACCAGACACATGAAGGAGATCATCCTAGACCAATTGGCATTAGGTGATCCACCAACTGCCTGCAGAACTGTGTGGCTAATGCACAGACTCATGAGCAATAATACAACATTTGTTACTTTAAGCTACTACCTATTCAAGTGGTTTGTTACCTGGCAATAGATAACTGATAAACCTTGTTTGACAGTTCCATCATCCACCACCTCCTATAAGCATTATAAGATTTATTTTTTCAAAATGGGCATACACCAGATGAAATATCCCTTTACTATATTTGTTAGTGTATTTATATATTGTTTCCTCTCAATGTATAAAGAATTTAAAGCAGTTTACAACTAGAATTCACAAAATACAATAATTAGAAACAAGTAATTGAAAGGAGGTAATAAATAAAAATAAGATGAGAAATATTAAGATCAAATGAAGAAGAGCACAGAAATGTCGGTCATAAAGAGCTATATAATTTATGGAATTTATCTTTAACTGTGTCTCTAAGATCCCTGGCAGCCAAATGAAAAGCAAGTTACATTGTTTTCACCATCAGGAAAAAATAAGCATACCAGTTCTTTAGTATAAACAAAATGTTTCTTGTATTGAATTTTGATAGGCATTTTTTTTTTTTTGTGAGACAGAGTCTCACTTTATCGCCCAGGCTGGAGTGCAGTGGCACAATCTCAGCTCACTGCAAACTCTGCCTCCTGGGTTCATGCCATTCTCCTGCCTCAGCCTCCTGAGTAGCTGGGACTACAGGTGCCCGCCACCGCGCCCGGCTAATTTTTTGTATTTTTAGTAGAGACAGGGTTTCACTGTGTTAGCCAGCATGGTCTCGATCTCCTGACCTCGTGATCCACCCGCCTCGGCCTCCTAAAGTACTGGGATTACAGGCGTGAGCCGCTGTGCCTGGCCAGTTTTTTTTGGTTTTTTTTTTTTTTGTTGTTGTTGTTGTTGTTTTTTTAAAGTGGATTCCTCTTATACAAGACAGGAAATGACATGGAAGACAGAATTTTCGTAAACCAATCTAACAGCTAGCTTTAGTATGTAGTAACCTTCTAGAAAAACCAAGACAATCACATGAATACAGAATTTCATGGATGTAATTCTTCCAGAGGCTGCTGAAGTTAATCCTGTTTTAAATTTTTCAGGACTATCAAAATGTATGTTCTCTGCTGTGAAGCATGAATAGCTTTTGGAATCAATTATCAAAAGAATCTTTGATCACTCAGTAAAGACTTTGGTTTCCTCTTTCAGGAAAAGCTCAATTTCAGTAGTTTTGTCACTGCGAAATGTGAATCTCTGGATAATGTGCCCAGTTCAAAAGTAGCAAAATTAGAACCTGAACTCAAGATCCTTCTGATCCCAAAGTTTATGACTTAAAAATAGATTCAATGGTGTTATCAGTGATTAAGTAATTAATTGCTGGTTTAAATAAACCCAGTTCCTCATGGAAGATAATACACTTGTATTTTAATACGAGATTTCAACATCTTAAAGTCAGGATGTGCATAAAAGTGGGAATTTCTAGTGCTTAAGCCAATGTGAGGAGAATAGATGAGGGAGAAAAAAGAGAGAGGTTGTGATTTTCACTGAGCTCTTCTGTCAGCCCTCAAATGACAGCATTTGGATCTATGCAACCAGCATTCTGCATCTTCTCTGTCCAACACCACTCAACCAGTGGGGCAGGCCGACTTCTAAAACATGTATGTATCAGCAAATGCTATATCATAAACTGCTGGAATGATGGAATTTGCCATTTTGGCCCCGCTTGGATTACTGACCCACAAACATTTAACTTACAAAATGAATAAAATGCTAGTACTTTGATTTCTCTGAAAATGGTTGTGCTACTTCGTCAAATATAACACTTAACTTTTCTGTGCGTGTGCCCTCAGTAAGAGTATAGTGGATTCACAAAGTCTCTGAGCTCTACCTCTGGCCTGATTATTTAATAGCTAATAAATAATTACGAAGCTAGAGCCAAGATTTTCCAAGTACTTGAGGTCTCAGAATCTACCAGCTATTAATCACAAGCAGCCCATTTTCTAATTATCATTTTGGAATGGGCTGTTTGCTCTAAATTTTTTTAATGACCATGGAAACCAGAGCCACACATACATTAGAAAAGAAATTTCTATGTCTGCCTTCATGCACTTTTCATAATGAAGACAACCAAGATGTGGTGCTAATTCTACTCTGAATACATTCATGTGTTCAGTCATCCACGGAAATGTGTCCTGTTGAAAGAAATGTCATTTGAACCAATAATTGACCCTTTCAAATACCAGCATGAAAATTGCTTATGACACAGTTAGAGCCTATGACCCCATGAATATCCATCAAGAAGTGGACCATTAATAAATTGTACTACATTAAGTACACTGTTTCTAACTGGATTGTTTGTTTTTATAACAGATAGCTCGTGTCATCAATGGGGAATTAGCTGATTGTAACAATATTGTCCTTCCTGAGATGGAATAAAATTCAAAATAACAATGGGTTACTATTAATATAGGCTTATCATATACAAAACACAATATTAAGTATTTAATGTTATCACTCATTCATCAAATATTTACAGAATTAATATATAGCATTTTTCTATGCTTTAAAATAAGGTCATAAACCAAATGCAGTCCTTACTCTTAAGAAGTGGAACTTACAGCTGCAAAGAGAGGCATTAAATAAGTAATTGTTACCTTACTTAATGCTCACAACAATACTGTGTTTATTTTCCCAATATTTACAGAAGTAAGTAATACTTAGAGAAGTTAAATACCTCTTCTAAGGTCACTGTTGGTAAATACAGTTAGGATTTGAACCTAGAAGCTTCCGACTTTAATGATTTTGCTCTTAACTACATCATTAAATTGCTACCCTCTATGTATTTGTATCATTTACTAGATACTTCACTAACTTGGTTCTTTTACAAATTTTCTAAACACTTTTTCCCCTTTTCCTTAGCACATTCATTCAACCCAGCCAGTATCAAATATGTGTTGGGTACATTCCAGGCACTGGGGATACCATATACTTCAATGAGTGCACTCAATGGTAAACACTGTGCTAGGATTTATCCATTAGCACAGTGTTTATCAGTTCATCTGACTCCATCCCCAGGACATTTTTTGTTCCTCCTCTTATATTAAATGAAGGAATATCTTTCTATGTCAAAGTAATACTCAGTTTAGCTTGTATCGACATAACATAATTTAACAGATGTTTATGAATGAATGCTAATGCCATTTAACATATGCTTCTGGGACTTTCAACAATTAGGCAACATTTCTTTTCATGGTAATTTCTTTTAATCCATACTTGTTTTGAGTTCTGGATGACTTCAGGTGCTAAGGGAGAATACAAGTACTCTAGGATTCTTGGAGATTATCTATTTTATTATTCTCTGCCTTCCTAGTGTTGATTCATAGAGGTGGTTACTTGTTGAAAGAGCTCTCATAGAATTAAAGAGTTAGCTTTTTTTTTTTTTTTTCAGAGTCTCATTCTCTCGCCAGACTGGAGTACAGTGGTGTGATCTCAGCTCACTGCAACCACCACCTCCCAGGTTCAAGCTATTCTCCTGCCTCAGCCTCCTGAGTAGCTGGGACTACAGGCTTGTGCCACCATGTCCAGCTAACTTTTGTATTTTTAGTAGAGATGGGGTTTCACCATGTTGGCCAGGATGGTCTTGATCTCTTCACCTTGTGACAACCCAGCGGTTTCAAAACTTGGCTATGGATTATAATAACCTATGGAGATCATTAAAAACAGACACCTGGGTATAGATCAATGGGACCAGACCAGAGAGCCAAGAAACAGATCTGTGCATGTATGGTAAAGAAAAAAAGGGATATATTAAGTTTCATCAAATTAAAAATATTTACTTTTTGAAAGACATTATATTAGTTTGCTAGGGCTGTCATAACAAGATATTATAGACTGGGTGACTTAAGCAACAAAAATTCATTTTCTCACAGTTCTGGAGGTTAGAAGTCCAAGAACAAGGTATTAGCAGGCTGGTTTCTCCTGAGATCTCTCTCTGGCTTGCAGATGGATCCTTCTCAATGTGTCCTCACATGGTCTTTCCTCTGTGAACATGAATCCCTGTGTGTTCACATTCTTCTTTTCATGAGTACATCAATCCGATGGAATTAGCGCCTATCTTATGGCCTCATTTTAACTTAAGCACTTTATTAAAGGTCCTATCTCCAAATATGGTCACATTCTAAAGTCCTGGGAGTCAGGGCTTCAACATAGGAATTTTGGAGGGATGACACGATTCATCCCATAACAGAAAGTATTAAGAAAATTTAAAAGGCAAGATACTGACTGGGATAAAACATTAATAGTACATGTATCTCACAAAGGATTTGCATCCAGAATATATAAAGAACTTTAAAAACTCAATAACTGGCCGGGTGTGGTGGCTCACGCCTGTAATCCCAGCACTTTGGGAGGCCAAGGCGGGCAGATCCCAAGGTCAGGAGTTCGAGACCAGCCTGGCCAACATGGTGAAACCCCATCTCTACTAAAAATACAAAAATTAGCTGGGCGTGGTGGTGCGTGCCTGTAATCCCAGCTACTCGGGAGGCTGAGGCAGGAGAATTGCTTGAACCCAGGAGGCAGAGGTTACAGTAAGCCGAGATTGCACCACTGCATTCTGCCTGGGCAACAGAGCAAGACTCTGTCTCAGGAAAAAAAAAAATCTCAATAACAAGAAGACAGCTTAATAAAATGGGCAAAAAATTGAACAGACATATCACAAAAGAAGATATACAAATGGCCAATAATGGCACAAAAATATATTCAGCATCATTAGCCATAAAGAAAACAAAAATTCAAACGACAATGAGATTCCACTACACACTTCATCAAATGGCTAAAATTCAAAAAGACCAACAATGTTGAGTATCAGCAAAAATGTGGAGCAACTGGAATTTTCACATACTGCTTGTGGGAACTTTAAACTGGCACAATGACTTTGGAAAACAATTTGGCAATTTCCTGTGAAGTTAAATAGATACCATACAATGGGACAATTTCAGCCCTCGGTATTTATCCAAGTAAAATGAAAATGTTCACACAAATACTTGTATATAAATGTTCATAGCAGCCTTATTCATAATAGCCAAAAATTTAAAACCACCCATCCACCCATATACCCACCAACAAGTAAATGGGTAAACAAATTGTAAAATATACAGACAACAGAATATTACACATAAATAAAAAGAATAAACAACTTGTATACCTGGGAACACAGATGAATCTCAAAAACATTATGCTTAAGGAAAGAAGCCAGACACAAAGAGTTCACATTGTAGATTCCATAGATCATGTTCTAGAGCCAGAAAAACTAATTTACAATGACAAAAAGCATACCAGTGGTGGTCTGGACCTGAGAGGGGAACAATTGACTACAGTGACATTTTTGTAACTTCCAAGGAAGTTTTTGGAGTTATATAAATATTGTACATCTTGATTTCAGTGAATATATGGGTATATACATTTGTCAAAATTCATCAAACTTTGCACTTGAATGGGTGCTGTTAAAGAATGTTGATTATAACTCACAGATTTCTGGGTCCAAATTCAGATCTACTAAATCAGAATTTTTGGAAAAAGGGCCTAGGAATGAGTTTGTTTGTTTGTTTGTTTATAAGAATCCCATCCACAGGAGATTCTGATATAGTTGTGTGTAGGGGTGATAATATGGTCCAACCAGTGCAGGCATCCCTGTACCACGCTGCCCTCAGATGGCCATGCAACTTCTGCTCGGTGCCCACCACACCTCTACTCCCTCTCCTCTAGCTGGAGCTCACTCTCTTGTATGGTAGCCAATTCTGTTTTAGAACAGTTCTTTTTCTCACTATGGCATGCACCTAATCCTTGGTCACGTGACTGCTAAAGCAGTAGATTTCTATGGCCCTTTGCTTTTCTCTGTTGCGTCTCCTCTGACAATTCAGGGCTGCTTTAGGAGTAGATTAAAAACAAGGGGTCCAACCAAAGTGAACACAACACCTCTTATATGTTTACATTAATGTATTCAATTAGCATGCACTGATGACTCACCATTTCCATGTCAATGGGCTAGATGCTGGAGACAGAATAAAGAATAACATTTATAAAGATGTCCCCAGTTCAGGACATGTGCTGGATGTACGACATCTACATGTGAGGTGGTGATTTTAGAGAAAAACAAGTAGATAAAGGCATGCAATCGCTTTCCGCTCAGCTTAATGCCCACGAGAGTTTCCTTTCTGTCCATGGCCAAAATTAGGGCTCTAAGCTCTTTATATTGAAGGCATCAAAAGATATCTTTACAGGCTAGAATGCAATCACTTATGCAGTCTCATTGGTTCTAGTGTCTATTTTTACCATTCTCTCCTCTTTTTCCCCAGATGTTCTCAATGATCTTGGTGGTCTCTGTCCCATAGGAGCACCCTACTTAGACCTGCTCTTTCCCCTTGAACCACAGTCTGAATCGAAGTCCCAGGCCCCACTGGCTGGTAAAGCAAGGTCAGCTTGACAACTGTACTGTGAGAAAGCGAACAATGCTTTTATAGAGGTAGAAGCAAAGTATTCCAGGAGCACTGAACCAGATTACTTCAGTTTACAAATTATGTTTCACACATATTATCTCATTTGAGCTGACCTGGGACTGATAACAATAGTTGTCACCATTTATTGAATTCCTACCATGTCTAGACAAGATGTTGTGCTGAGTGTGTTGAACTTTTTAAACCTCATTTGATTCTTACCACAAATTGTATGATGCATACAGTATGTTATTCTCATTTTACAGATGTGGAAACTGAGGCTGAGAGAGATTAAGTAACTTTTCCAAGGTTAAATAACCAAGAAGTGACAAAACTGGGATTTGGATGCAGTTATACATGACTTCAAGGCCTATAATCTTAATTACTACTGTCATTAATGACCTTAGTTTAATAATACCCTGTTTTCAAAAATAATAGGTTTTTATTTTCCTTTCCATGCTGATCCTAAAGTGGTTTACAGAACCCCAGGAGGAATTATTTAGGGAGGACTCAACTAAATTAAGATCATGATATAATCTCAGATCCCCCTAAAAATTCATTAATGTAAAGGTATTTGGTATCTCCAGATAATTCTCTTCACTGTACTTTTCACTAAGCATGACCTTCTCCCGTCCTTCAGGCCTCTTCTCCTTCTTCTATGTTCCAAACATCCAACCCTGCATTGCAACCCATTACTGGATATCTTCCCTGTATGAAGGATAATAAAGAGTTAATCAAAGATTCCTTAAAATGAGAAGTCAAACTTCCACCAGCTACATGGCCAAGCACAATCTCCACAATCACAGTGATACCCAGCAGGGTGGCAGCCTTGCAAGATCTTTGGTTCATGGGAAGAGGGCCTCCTTTCTATGTTTCATGTTCCAAAAAGATGGACCTCCATCAGAGTTAGACTCCTGGTCCCGGCCTCTCTCTGCCTACCTGCACTTTCTCTAGGAGGGAAGTAAATTTTTGATTTGGAACTGCACTGTATGTGGCTTAGCCCCTTTTAGGATCTTCTTGGCATCTGACTGCCTGGAAGGAACATGCATTTTGATCTGCTGTCTGGTCATGAATAGGTATATTGGAGTAGGCCCTGCCCCTATATAGGCACAAGATTAGGCCTGTGATTTTCCAGTTTTGTCCTTGACTGGGTAGGTAAGATGACTCCTTGGGAATATATTAATAAGGCCATTTTTGCCACACACATAAGCTACTTATTTCAATCTAAGATACTTGTGTGGCATGTAATTTATAAAAGATCAGTATCCTCTATTAAGAGATTGCTATAACTTTAACTGATAAATCTTAAAATCTCCGTAGCATAACATGATAGCAACTAATTTCTTGCTCATGCAAATTCCAGTCTCTGCTTGGGAAGGCTTCCCTTAACTCAGTAATACTCCAGGTTGCAGAAGGCTCTGCTATCTTTTATACTTGGCTTCCAAGATCTCCCTAATCTATAGTAGCTAACTAGCAGATGGGAGAAGAGAAAGGGTAGCAGATCACAGAGGAGGCTTTTCTTGGACAGGCCTGAAAGTTGGCATGCCTCACTTCTTCTCACATTCCATTATCAGAAGCTAGTCACAAAACCTCACCTAGCTGCCAAGGAGGATGGAAACAGTCTAGTTTCATGCCCAGAAGGGAAGAGGAATAGGTTTGATGAACAGTTAGCCAGTCTCTACTACATATCCAGAATATATAAAGAAATCCTTACAGATAAATAAGAAAAAGCCAACAACAACCTAACAAAAAGTAGGTAAAGGACAAGAATAGGCATTTCACATGAAACGCAAATAGCCAACAAATATATCCAGAGATGTTAACTCCATTAGTATACAGAGAAATGGAAATTAAAGCCACATTGAGATGTCATTTTATAACCAATAGATTGGCAAGATGTAAAGACTCTTATAATGTCAATCATTGGCCAGGATGCTCAGTGTAGCCGATACTACCAGTGCCTGGCCATCTTCTTTGGCTTACCCTAGATGTCTCCTGCCATCGGCATTCATGTGCAGGCTTACAGGAACAATCCTCATCCAACAAGGGATAGGATATGGTGATTAAACATGCCAGCTTCCTTAAAGGATTCCCAGAGAGAACGAGCCTCAATTGGCTATACATAGTATTAATCATCCATATAACTTTTCCTATAACCTGTATGGACTTTCCTCTCTTCTTTAGCTCTACTGTCCACAGTGCTTTCTGAGTTCACCCTCCAGAAAAACCTGTTTGGACCCAAATTCTTGTCTCTGGATCTGCACTTGGGGGAAGACAAACTAAGACTGCATAACAGGAATCCTTGCTCTTCTCACTGCTGATGGGAGTGTAAATCTGTAGAAAACTTTTTTAAAAAAAAAAAAAAAAAACGATTTGTTATTACTTAGTGAACTTGAAAAAACTAGCTCAGAAATTTTATTCTACGTATATTCCCAAGAGAATTTTTGCACTAATATACCAGAAAACATGTATAAGTTTTCACAACAGCATTATTTGTACTAGCAAAAATCATACAGTGAACTACATAGCAGGTATCATGCTAGGATTCTAGATATAACAATGAGTTTGGGGGATTTCTAAATGTTTAGAAATCCAACCTGAAATTCAACCCTTTGCCTCCATACAGAAGACTTCATTTTTTTTATTCACCCATTTCTTCATTCCCTCAACAAATGCTGGGTGTTTTCTGGGAGCCAGGGAGCTCTGTAGGTGAATAATCAAAGGCTCCTCCAGGAACCCAGAATCTAGTAATGGTCAGATGGAGAGCAGTGGATAAACTAACCAGGCTGAGTGCTGGCGTAAGGTCAGACATGGGAGTTGTGCAATTTGGAGTTTAGGAGTGAAAATTCTGCATCAAATAGATTTAGGTTTGAACTCATCTCAGCATCTCCTTGGTAATTTTGTCTCCTTGAGTGCAATCTTAGCCTCTCTGAGCAGCACTTTCCTATGAAACGTGTTAACAGTCGTACAACATAAAGACTAGGCAGCTAATGAATATAAGTCCTTAGCATGGGCTTAAACATTGTACACATTTAATAAATGCTGACTACTGCTGGGGAACAGGCCAAGACAGTGATGAGGGGGAATTGTCAGGGGAATGAAGAAAGGCCTTAACAACATACACCTCCCAAAATGATGGCTATTCAAGGACACAAGTGATTAAAATTGGGAATGAGAGCTCAACTTCCTAATAATTAGACTTTGGGATTGTTAAGATTATTAGTTGGTTTGGGGAAAATAACTCTCAAGATGTGAAGTTTTAATAAACTTATGGTATTTTTTCTATCATAAGTAGCTTTTGATGACTGTTAAAAATATTAATGTCTGAAATGTTTTGCCCTTTGTATGTTAATACAATCTTCTGGGTGGAATTTTATTTTTCAATTTTTACAGTTTTTCATTGTCTATTTATTTTTCCATTTTCGTTTTGGGTGATGTTTTTTGGTTAAAAGTCTTCATGATAATGCAGTCCCTCTTAGCACCTATATTAAACATTTACTATCTGTCTGGGTCACAGTTAGCCTGGGATTGAGCCAAATTGTGTTCTTTCCCTAGTTACCCAGACAAACTATTCATTTCAACTACTCCAGAGAAAATCAAAGTCCATCTATCACATCTTTCCATTCCCTTCTTTGGCTTTGTCAGTAATGTATACACATTAAAAATTTAGCTGGGAAACTACTTTATTTAAACCTTCTTAAGGGTGAATATTGAGAATTGCGTATAGAGTAAGATCAAGCCATGTACACAACATGGATTCAAATTGCAGCCCCACAGAATCTATCTCTATATATCTTGAAGTCACTACTGAATTGCTACCCAGTGCTGTCTTCTTAATGCTAAGAAACCTTAAGGTTTTCATCTCTTCTCTATAGTCTGTCACCCAAACCCCTCCCCCAAAGCTTTTTCAAGTTTCTAGCATCCCACAGTCATGCTCCCATATCCAAACCTGCATGTAGCAATCTTGAAGGTTATTTGGTACATTTAATCATCTGGCTTCATCACTGCCATGAATACTGCTCGAACTGGGGTAGTTAATAAACATTTGGGGTCTTTAACTTGTTCATACTGGCCACAGTCTTTTTATTCTGAAATTTTATACTCAACATGCCGAGTGTCAGGACCTGAATTGGAGAACAAAATGAATGAGATTCTGATTCCCTCTGACATACCTGCCCAGAGGGTCTGTCTTCTGTCTTTGAAAGTCTGTTTTTGAAAGTTCTGGCTATCTCCTTTGGATACCCTGTTCTAGCCTGGTTGAGGATGCTTCAAACTCATTTAGCATATTTGCACCTTTCCTTTCTTCTTGTCTAAAATTATATCTTGCAAGCTAACACGAAGGTGACTATGTCAGAACTCCTTCCCTCTAGGAGTTAACCCTCTGGTAACAGACAAGGAAACACATGGCGATGATACCGTGCCATCAACACCATATCACAGAGTGCTGTAGAATGACAAAAGGAAAGTGTGGAGAACTTCTTAGTGGGCATGATGCCCAAAATGTCTTTTGTATGACAAATGAGCTTACAAAGAGAAGCCAGGTCATTGGGAAAAGCCATGGCAGCCCTCCCCTCCTCCATGAGAAATATCCTGGCATTCATTCTCTGGGTGTTACCTAATTCAGTGCACGCTCACCCTCAGAGTTTTGTCAGCTAGAACCTCAGTTTCCAAGGTGTTGACAAGCTACTAAAAACAGTGAAACACGCACTAGAAATGTTTCTTTAAGTTTTACAAAACATTCCAGATGAATTTCTGGTAATCCTGATAGTGATTGCCAATTAGTCCATGAATCACAACTATTACTCCTGGCACCCTGGCAGTGAGGATATTTCTGGGCCAGAGCTGGATAATCTCTTCAGCCCATTTGCAATAACGGAGGAGTCAAGGAACCACTGAAGTTCACTAAAGCCACAGGAGGATTACATGAACTGTTGAGGTAAATGACCCTCTGTGAATTCAGATAGAATTGAAAGTAAGGAAGAGGCGTACATATGGTTACCAAAATATTGGTGTTGTTACTATTTGAAGTTAGATTGGAACATGTATGTGTGTGGCACAAAATGGTATTAATACTGCACCCAAAAAGTCACCTATTACATCAGTCTTACTGAGAAATCACAGCCTACTCTACAAGGGCAGAGCCTACCCCAGTAAATCTATTCATGGCCCAGACAGCAGATCAGAATGTATTCTTTCCTGGTGGACAGACACCAAGAAGATCCTAGAAGGGGCTAAGCCACATTCAATGCAGATTCAAATTGAAAAGTCACTCTTCCTCCCAGGATCAGAGTGGGCCAGGACTAGGAGTCTAACTCATAAGATTTGTTTGTCTACATATTTATTTATCTGTCATAAATGTAAAATGCTTAGACAAAGCGGCTCTTCCTTAATCTCCTTTTTATTTCCAGTGCTCAGCTCTGTGCCTGATACATAGCAGACACAAAATACTTGATTGCTGAATTAATTAATTTCAGAACCTAAAATTTCCAATTCTAGAAATGTTACTATTCTACTACTTCCCCCAATTATGTTGCCTTGATGCTAGTATTTCATCCTACTCTTCATTTCTTCTTCTCACCCTACTCAGGATTCTGAATCCATCCTTCTTAGAACACTTCCTCTTCACCCTCATATAATTTATAAACCTATTAATATGTGCTTTAGTCTTAGAACAACATTAGCCTTAGAAAGTAGTGATAATGGAATTCTAATAGGAAAAAAATGAAAACAATTACTGAAAGGGCTTATAGTTTGTATCTTTGTGCTTCTTTCTGAAAAGAAAAGAGAGGGAGTTATGGGAGGCAAAAGAGGCTGGCCTTTGAGGTGTGTGAGGGGACAGAGCTCTTGGAGAGATTGGAATACCCATCATACTAATTACAGAGGCAGAATACCCCAGCTATTGCATGCAGGGACCCTACATCCAGACTGCCTAGGTTGAAATTCTCAGTCTTCCACTTACTAGTTGTGACCCCGGGCAATTTTTTAAACTTTCTGTGACTCAGTTTCCTTACTTTTAAAATAAAGGTAATAAAAAGAATTTCACATGGTTGTGGTGAGATTAAGAATATATAAATGCTTAGATTAGCATCCAATACACAATAAGCACTATGTAGGTGACAGCTATTAATATCACTTAAGGGTAGTTCCCAGGAAATTTAGGGAATAAATAGAATGAATAATATGGAAATGGAACTAGGTGTAGTGTGTACAAGGAGTCACTTCAAAGACACACAAGATGTCCTAGCATGGCAAATGCTTGGCATCTATGTTCTCACTACCCTCACCTATGTCTATGATAGTCATTTCATATAAACTATGGAATTAACTCTCTCTGAGCCTAGACACAGCTTCATAATTTTACTTTCAATACTATCCCAGGCAGCTACTTCCAATCAAAGCCAAAAAATATGATGAAAACTATTTGCTGTCCCTATTGGAGGCCAACTACAGGGTCAGTCATTAGGGAGGTAACTATAATCTGACTTTGGGTTGGGACTCTTGGAGGCCAGGTGCAGACCAAATGGGCTACCTGGTCAAGGGGACTTTCTGTTTATAACCCAACCCCAGTGAAGTTCCATCACTAATAAGAAATCAAATCATATTCTCAAGCAAGTAACAAGGGAAACTTCCATAAGGATTACATGACAGTGACACCAAGACCCAAGTGCCTACTCTTGTGAATAGGCATGCATGAGTAGTTCTTGAAAACAAGAAACAGTGAAAGTGCCTAATAGGCTACATCACTTCGTTACTTAGCTCACTTGCCAGTCCTGGGGCCAGATCTTCAAGGTTTTCTTTTCAAAAATTCTTCCCCCCTTAATGTTCTCACTTAACTGGTCTTCTCAAAAATGTCTACTTAGAGGAGAACAGACCCAGAGCAATCATGGAAATTAGGGAGGTCATTAAGATTGCTTGGGCAGATTAAATTGGGTGTGTTGGAGATTTGAACCTCTCTTTTTAGGAATAAAAGGAATACAGCTGCCTTTGTCAACCTGGACAGCCTTAGGTATTAATGTGTTCATCTCTTCTGTGTCTGCTTTTCCACATCTAGACCATATGGTAGAATAAACATATATTGTAATCAAGCTCTAAATCCAAGGACAAAAGCCCATCATCCTGAAGATTCAAGGAAACTAAATGCTCCCCAAAAGTTTCCACTTAATTCCTATCCCTGGGGTAAACTATGCATCTGGAGGCATTGACACAGGAGGGGAAATCTGACCCTAGAATCTAATGGGAAATGAGTGGTATTCTTTTTATCCTTAAGCATTGCAATGGGCTGACTGTGCACATCATCTTACATTTCTCTTAGCTTATATATCCTTCTCACTGCTGACTCATTTTCTGAATTTATGTCCACCAGACATCACCATGGGATCCCCCAAAGGAGCAAGGGATGAGAACTCTGCCTTCAGATGCTCCGATTTGGGAAGCTTCCAATTACCAGCTCATCCTGTCGTTCAACAACATTTGCAAGTGATCACCTCTAGAGGGAGCTAACCCCACTGTCTTATTTCTTAATGTAGTAGGCAAGGAATTGTTAAATATGGAAATTTTTCAGTATCCAAGATTTGATAAATTATTGGGCATTATTATTTGTCTCTACACTGGCCCTATAATGATGCCTGAGGGCAGTGATGTGGGAAGGCAATTCATCCATGAAGGCAAAGGAAAAAGCTACTTGCAAAGAAGAAAGACTTGTAATTTTCCTCAGCTCATAAACACCAACTGCAGGAAAAAATAATGGCTGCATTTTGCTTTCCTAAATTGTTCTTCAAAGGGATACTGTTTTCCTCTTCAAAGTTCCCTTTTCTTAACCTTAGTATATGTAATTGCACCTTAAAAAAACATTCGCAGTTATGGTGGTAGAAAAGGAAGGCCATAAAGAGCAAAGGGGATTGCACAGTCTGATTTGACCTTCAGAATTTATCAATCTTGTCACACTGAAGTTTCCTCTGAGATGCAGACACTTGGGCTGGTGGGCTCTAACCAATGCAAGGCTAAGAAACAGCTATATGGAATCTGCAACTCCTAGATATTTTGTTAAGACTTGGCTGGTTCTCTGCAATATTTTCGTGTTTCACATAATACTTGGCTAAAAAGAATAGTAAATAATGAGCACCAAAAGAATCAGATAGAAAAAGTATAGCTTCAGGCTGACAGCTGACATGCAAACCACTGTTCTCTGCAGGTAAATGGGGCGCCTAAATTACAGCCTGGGAAGGAGAGAAACAAGGAGGTGATACTGCCAGCCTGCTGCAGCTCCAAATCCCAGAGGCATCTGGGTTGATACTGTACAGCAATGCCAGAAGGAGTGCTTGGGGATGGCAGAGAGGTTCCTGGAGGCCCAAACCCTCAGTGAAAGGAACTGAGCTGTTTTACAGTTCCCAAGGCAGGATAAATACTTAGCCAGAACAGAAATAACCTCCTTTACCTCTTCCCAAACACCTCCACCCTCAACTGTACAGGGCTTATCAGGCTGAAGACTTGGGGCCTCAGCCTATGCTAAAAAGGAATCCCTTGTGTCCTAACTAGTGAACTGAACAAGCTTAAAGGATGACTGGGATCAGGGGATTAAAAGAAAAGAGTGGCTAAGGGACTGTATTTCACCTGCCGTCACCCTGAGGCCAAAAAAAAAAAACATATTAGGAAGAAAAGACATTGGAACCAAAGCAAATCCAAAATGGTATGTCTCAGCCCAAAAATATCTTGTGAAAACTGCAGTGACCTCTAAACAAAAACTGAAAACCATATAAGGTGATAAGATTCTTAGCTGGGATCCTGGGAGAGTCACACTTGGATCACAACAATGACCTCCCAGCCAGGGTCCCTGCCACTAGTCACCCTTCTCTGAGTCCATCCTGCACAATGGGGGCAAAATCATCTTACAGAACTTTACCTTGATCATGTTATTATCCCTGCTCAGGAAAAGTAAGATGTGTACTTGCTGTAACTCCTAGAAAGTAAGCTCCATCTATGTAGCTGTCCTTAGTCCTCAACATAGAACTAAGCTCAGGTCAGGATATGTTCCCTTAATCTTGGACCAACAAGCCATAAGGAGGCCCAACCAGAGCAGTAAGAACGTGTGCTTCAGGGTCCAAGAGACTTGCTTCCAGTGCCAGCTCTGCATTTGACCACTGGCAGATTGTATTCACATTTTCCCTGTCCCATCAAATTTAATTTTCCCAGCCCCATCTGTAAAACAGCTATAATACCAAACCTCACAGTAGCTGTCATGAGAAAATGACAAAATGTGCCTAAAATGCCCAGAATTATTTAATCTGGCACTTGCTGAAAACTCATTGACAAGATTTTTTGCTTATTAATCATGTTTTCCAAATAGTCTGTGATTTGCTCCTTGTGCTTTGATATTTAAAAATTAATTTTTAAAAAGGAGACAATTGTATTACCTTATTAAAACTAGGGAACAGCAAAAATGTGTCTTGCAAAAACAGGCCAGATTCTGATGAGGGAGGATAAGGCTTGGAGAAGTTCTAAGGACAGGTTACAGCTGTATTTGTTAACTGATTTCTTTTTGTTTGCAAATTCAGTACACAAAATCTTCCTAGCTGTCCTCTGCCTTTTCCATGGCATCCTAAACCATTCTGGGACCTCAAATGACTATAGTAGTAGCATCACTACAAGAGGGCTAAAATAGAAGGCAGGAGCCTCAACACACACAAGAGCCTACTCCACAGAAAGTTCTGATACTGAAATACCACTGTGTTGGGTCCATAGTTCTTGCTTATACAGTTCATTTTTCTTCAAACTGTCATACAATGTGACTAGGTTGACAGCATACAGCTGGTTTTACACCTTTGAAGTTCTTCATTAGAAGCCATATTTCACATGAACATAGCTTAGAGCCATATTGTGAAGATACCATGTGAGCTGTGCATGAGGCTGTGTGGAGAGCTGCCAAGCATGATATTTTGTGTTCTGTGTTTCTGCATGCTTTGTATCCTAGAAGCTAAACTCCCATTTGGCTGTTCCAGTTTCTTCAAGGGATGAAGTTAGGTTTCCATCTTTAAAAAAAAGCAATTCATAAAGGAAATGAATTTGAAAAGGAGATTACATGGTGGTCATCATCTTGATACCCAAATTCAAATGTCTATTAATCTCCAGGGCATAAAAGACACAGAAAATATCTCCAGGGTATAATAAACACAGAAATGATAACATCTAAAGAACAGAAGAGAGCGAGTAAACGTAGAATCAGAACAAGCGACTATTTTAAGAAAACAGAAGATGACTGATAAGTGGAAATGGTAGATTTGTTCTATTGAAAAATACCAGTATATTCTGGAAATAACAGGAGAAGAAAAAATAAAGAAGTTTCATTACTATACGTTTTCAGAAGCAAAGAAGCACAATCCAAAAGGAACTCTCCTCTTAACTTTGTATATAACATAGAACAATAAATGACTGCTGCAAAGGAACCAAAAATACAATAATTTGATAAAATGAATATTTTAGGGAGAAAGAGAGGAAACTTTCACCATTAGGAAACCAAACATCTCCTTCTGCAGCTGAAGAGACATAGTTTTCAAGTGGCGAGGGAAAATGAAAAATAACCTCATTTAACTATGTACTCATCTGTTTTGTTTTGTTTTTTTTTTTGCACCTCACAAACTGATCCAGTCAGCAGAAAGGACTATGGGTGTTTTTGAGCCCAGAGTCCACTACATCATAAACATAGGGCTGTTTTAAACCAACACTGTGTGGAGCTATTGCCTTAACAGAGTCTGATGGTCAAGGCCTGAAACCTGGATCTGACTCAGACTAGGAAACAAAAACAGTAGGCTTCAGAGCATGCCATAGACAGAGAATTAAACAAAACCTGGGAGAGGGCTCAAATTTTCAGAAGGAAACCGCTTCAGCAATTTGAATCATTAGTTTACCAAAGCCTAGTAAGAGAAGAGGCTTTTAGGAAACTTCTAAATAAACTTTATAGACCCAAATTAAATAGGTTGATATTAGAACCTTGGGAAAGATTCAGAATATCCTAACCACTTACAATATTTCTGCCAACACCTTTTATTCCTCTCTTGCTCCTTCTTCTTAAATGCCTCTGATTTCTTACAACCCCAGTACTCAGTACTAAGCACTCTGGACCTTCTCCACATTATCTTATAAAAAAAGTGCATCCATTCTTTTAAATACTTGTTTTATTTTACAGTTAGTGTCTTTTGTGTCCTCTCCTGCAGGTCTTTGCTTTGTCTGAGGTCACAAAGATATGCTCCCATGTTTTCTTCCAGAAGTTTTATAGTTTTAGCTTTTACATTTAGGCTCCATCTTGAATGAGGCTCCATCTTGATCCATCTTGAATTAATTTACATATATAATGAGACATAGGGGTAAATGTTTATTTTAGCCCAGTTGCTCAAGCACCATTTGTGGAGAAGATTTTACTCACTGAATTAACTTGGCACAATTATTGAAAATCAGTTGACTCTATATATGTGGTTTTATTTCCAGACTCTATTTTGTTCTGATGATGTATGTGTTTGTTTTTATGCCAGCACCACACTGCCTTGATTACTGTGAAAGTTATAGTTATCCACTCTTAGGTTTAACAGATTACTTGATGCAGAGGCCTAAGACCTAAATTCTAATGCAAGTTTTGGCATTAACTAGCTGTGAAATTTTGAACAAGTCATCCAGTTTCTCTATTACTTAATTTATTAACCTGAAAAATAAGAGGGAGTAGATCGGGGTTGAAAATTAAAATACTTGGCAGGTAATGTAACAGAATTAATCTGGAAGGTATGATGCAATTCTACAACAGGGAGTGATGGGTATTGTATCAATGTTCATATCCAGTCTAAACATGAAAGTTACCATCCAGACTAGCTTGCAAGAATGCAAACTTGCTACTGCCACACCGTCTGATTTTTCCAGAGAAACCAGAAACCTGGATTTGTTATGGGAAATCTGATTTTTAAGGCATCACATAGGCCAAATAAAACATAGAAACTCAGTCTCTGAACTGCCAGTTTGAGACCCTGGTCTAGCAAATCTCTCAGAATGCCAATTGTTTGTTTGTTTGTTTGTTTACATAGTTACTGGGAAGAACAAACGAGGGAACATAAGAAAATGCTTGCACTGTACCTGATATAAATTCTTTTTTTCACATTAAACATTCTCTAACTTGTATCCCAAATCTCTACCACTAGCCCTGCATTTCTTGCAAGCAAAGAGTCATTTCCTCCCTTAAATCCAACTATTAGCTCACTCTCCATTGAGTTCACAATCTGGCCTGTGTTGGAATCTTTCGGTTACTCCCCTTCCCAGACGCTTTCTCCACCTTTTTGCAGCTCAGTCTGTGCTCAGATACATTGAATTATGTGAATTTTATGGACAGGCTTTTTTATCCTGTGGCTTCCTGTTGTGTTTAGCCAATGTAGACATCAGCAAAAGACTAGAGGGTGAATGAAGGGTGAGATTGGTGTATTTACATTCCCAGTGCCCCACCTGCTAAGTCACAAGGCTTGACTTTGGCCTAACGTCATAGCTGTCTTCAGGCTGTTCTCTCCATAGAGCCATAGTCAGTTCAGGCTCCTATAACAAAGAGAACTACACACTCGGTGACTTAAACAACAGAAATGTATTCCTTGCAGTTGAAGACTGAAAAGCTCATGGTCAAGGTGCTTGCCAATTTGGTTCCTGCTAAGGGCCCTCTTCTTGGTTTGCAGATGGATGCCCCTCCCTGTTGTATCCTCACATGGTAGAGAGATAGATCTTCTTTCTCTTTTCTCTTATTATGATCACATTAATCCCATATATGAAGGCCCCACCCTCATAAACTAATTACCTTCCAAAGACCCGACCTCCAATTGCCATCACACTGGGGATCAGAGCTTCCATATATGAACTTGGGGAGACACAAACCATTCAGTCCGTAGTAGCCAAACTTTTCTTTGGGTTACATTAACCGTTTTTTCCTGTTGACCCTTCAGGCCAAGAGGCAGTTAATAGCTCTCATGTCCTTTTAAATTCTGTTCACTCACTTATAAATCATTCAATTTGAGTGTGCTATATCATCTTGAGACCCCTAAACTAGCAAATCTTCCAGGATGCTAACGGTTTTTTTACATAGTTATTGTGAAGAACAAATGAGGGAACATAAGAAAATGTGTGATCATTGTCTAATACACCAGCTTCTCACCCCAGGTAGAGCCCCTCTCCTCTGTTCCCTTTCTAAACCAATGGCGCCACTATCCTGCCTATTAACGAGGCATAAAGTGATGGCCCTCTATGAGAAAGGGAGGTTCCCATAGGATCCCTCTCCCTCACTCACCCCTAAAAATGAGCAGCCAGGAAAAGGAGAAACTTGGCCTGCCAAGAGTAGAAGGATTGGTTAAGTTCAAGGTACTGAGTTGGCTACATTTTCTAGGAGTGGAGTTTCGAATTGAACTGATTTTGTGGCTGGAATTTCTCTTCCCTCTTTTCTACTAGACCAAAAAGATTAGTGTTCTGGGCTGCTCCGTGCAACCCTTCATTCTATCCTCTGTGAATATTCTCTCTTCATTCATGCCTGGAGCCACCAGCACTTTCCCCTTGCACTGGGTACACCTTAAATTGGTTTTTTGACACCATCCGTGGAAGATCTGCTATCCAGGCTGAACCTCATAAACATAGATAGCTGTTTGACTTGCTTCAGATCTAAGCTATATATAGGCTGCTTCTGATGTCTTAAAATTTTTTCCACATGGTTCACCTTAGCTTCCTAGTTTTGCACTGGAGCTTCAAGCAGAAGCCTCTGCTAATAATAGTGTTACTGTGTTTTCTCTTGCCTCCTTTGTCATGTACCCTTGTTTCTAACCTGCCTGAGAAGCAGGAGATTAGTATGGAAAAGAGCAGAATTTGTAGACTCCTGATTATACTAATGTAAAGTCCCAATTCAACATAAATAATCAATACCAAATTCTTGGCATAAATTTTGACTCATGCCAATTCTTCATCTCCAGTATTCACTCTACCAGATGCCCTTAGTTTGTTGCTTCAAAATGCCACTTATATCACTCTCCTGCTCTACATTCTTATCCCCACTGTATTCATCTCAGTTCCTGAACAAATGATGACAACTTCTGCCCCTTCCAATTCATCCTGCCCCACTCTGCCAGATTCAACTTTCTTATAGAATGCTTCCATCATATGACTCTTTATAACCTATTACTTCAAATACAAATTCAGTGGCACAGATTTTAATGATCTCCATAATATACACACCCAATCTCAATTGTCCTAGAGATCATGCATGGGAGAGAGCAGTCTTTTCGGTGCTTCATCCACATGCCATTTTTGTTTCTATCTCCAAGCTGTTCCCTTGCTGGATATGTCATATGCTCTTCCCTCCATCTATAACTGAGCCCTGTTCAGCTCATATTCTGCCTTCTCAATTAACACTTTGCTTCTTAAATTAACCCCTACTTAACTTTTCCTATAAACTCAAATGGTACTTTTAGTATCTTCCATACAATTTAACCATTGAATACACATTATTTTATTTATTTATTTTTTGAGACAGGGTTTCACTCTTGTTGCCCAGGCTGGAGTGCAATGGCACAATCTCGGCTCACCACAACCTCCACTTCCCGAGTTCAAGCAATTCTTCTGCCTCAGCCTCCCAAGTACACACTATTTTATGTTGTTTTCTAATCACTTTAAGTATATTCACATTAAGGATATTGTTCAGTGTTAATGATTTTTTTTAAAAAAATGGTCTCACTCTGTCACCCAGGTGAGAGTGCAGTGGCACAATCATGGCTCACTGCACCTTCGACCTCCTGGGCTCAAGGACCCACCTCAGCCTCCCAAGTAGCTGGGACTACAGGTGCATGCCACCATACCTGACTAATGTTTTATTTTTATTGTTTTGTAGAGACAGGGTCTTGCTTTGTTGCCTTGGCTGGTCTCAAACTCCTGGGCTCAAGAGGTCCTCCTGCCTCAGCCTCCCAAAATGCTGGGATTATAGGTGTGAGTCACCAGGACCGGCCTTAGTGATGAGATTTTTGATGATATCATGAATAGGGGACCCAGGAAATCTTCCCATCTTGCTATTGGTCTAGTCATTTTTTCCTCCTCATCAAGACCCTAAGAGAAACATTGTTAACAAGGAACAAAGACAAATGGGAATTCAGGTACCATCTTGTAATGGTTAGTTTTGTGTGTTATTTTGAATAAGCCAGATTTCCCAGTTATTCAATCAAACACTAGTCTAGGTGAAAATTTCTTATAGATGTGATTAAAGTCAATAATTAGTTTTTTTTTTTTTTTGAGATAGAGTCTCACTCTGTCACCCAGGCTAGAGTGCAGTGGCACCACCTTGGCTCACTGTAAACTCCGCCTCCTGGGTTCAAGTGATTCTCCTGTCTCAGCCTCCCAAGTAGAGCAGGTGTGCGCCACCAAACCCAGCTAATTTTTTTTTTTTTTTGTATTTTTATTAGAGACAGGGTTTTACCATGTTGGCTAGGCTGGTCTCGAACTCCTGGCCTCAAGTGATCTGCTCGCTTCCACCTCCCAATGTGCTGGGATTACAGGCATGAGCCACCACGCCCAGCCAGTCAGTCGGGTTTTTAAAAGGGCAACTATCCTAGATAGTCTGATTGATTTCATCAATTGAAAGGCCTTGAGAGTGGAGCTGAGGTTTCCCAGGAGTAGAAATTCCAGCTGCGGATCCCAGCTTTAGCTTTAGCCTGTGCCCAAGAGTTCCAGCCTAAAGTTCCTGACAGCCTACCCTAAGGATTTTGGAATTGCCTGCATAGTCCCCACAATCACATAAACCAATTTCTTGCAAGGAAGCTTAAAAAATATATCTCCTACTAGTTTTCTGTTTCTCTGGTTTAACCCTGACTTATATAGATTGGGATATCTGGAAGTGCAGTAACAAATAACTAAATGTGGAAGTGGCTTTGGAATTGGGCAATGGGTAGAAGCTGAAAGGATTTTGAAGAACACAGCAGAAAATGTCGGATTGTCTGGGATAGACTGAGTAGAAATATGGATAATGACTCTACTGGTGAGGATGCAGAAGGAAGTGAAAAGCATGGTGCAGAAAATCCATAGTGAAAATCTACATAACTTTACAGAATACCTAAATCTTCATAAAAGACTGTTGATAGAAATATGGATATTAGAGGCACTCCTGGTGAAGGTTTAGAAGAAAATAAGGAACAAGTAGAAAATGTAGAAGAAGACAGCCTTGTTTTATAGTGGCAGAATGCTTACTGGATTTCTGTCTTACCATTATGGAAAGCAGAAATGATAAGTAATGGAGTTAGATATTTAGCTGAGAAGCATTTTAAGCAAATTATTGAAGGTGCAGAATGGTTTTGTCACATTGCTCATAATAAAATGCAAGAGGAAAGAGATAGGTTGACAAAATAATTGTTAAAGAAAAAGAAACTGGAACTTGGTGATTGGGAAATTCTCATTCGATCCAGATTGGAAAAGATGCTAAAATTAGGAGATTCGCTGTCAGGAAAGACTGCTCTGGAGAGAAAGTCAAAATGGCTGGACCACCTTTTGCCAGTGGCTCAGAAGTATCCAGAGGTGAGAATTTCAATCACACAGAGGTATCCTGGAGAGGGTAGTCATGTGACTCACAGATCTCAGCCATCTAAGTAAAAGCCAGGAATAGAGATGGGTTTATCCAGGAAAGATATATGGAAGAGACTCTTATCTAATGGAGTGAATCCCCAAAATATTCACAGAAGACCCACAAATCTCTTGACCTCTTGAGAATTTTATACCAACAGAAAGATAGAAATAGATAGAGAGATGATGAAATGAAAGAAGACTGTTGGACTCCTAAAATTCTACAGGCAGGACACAGACTAATAAGACCGCTCTGCTACAAACACATGCTATTCTTTTATTCTTTTTTTTTTTTTTTTTTTTTTTTTTTTTTGGAGACGGAGTCTCGCTCTGTTGCCAGGCTGGAGTGCAGTGGCGTGATATCGACTCACTGCAACCTCCGTCTCCCGGCTTCAGGAGATTCCCCTGCTGAGGCCTCCCAAGCAGCTGGGACTACAGGCATGTGCCACCGCGAACAGCTAAGTTTTTTTTAATTTTTTATTTTATTTTAGTAGAGACGGGGTTTCACCATGATTTGCCCACCTCAGCCTCCCAAAGTGCTGGGATTACAGGCGTGAGCCACCACGCCCAGCTAACACATGCTATTCTTCATAAAAGAATGGCTCAGAAAATGAAGCCTCAAGTCATAGATTATTCCCAGGTCTTGAAACTTACAGGAGTTTGCCCCTTTGGATTTCTAATTTGCTTGGAACTGGTAACTCCTTTTCCCTTACATTTTTTCTTTTTATTATTTTTTTAAATGTAACTGTTAACTGGTATCCTATCCCTGTTCCACCATTGTATTTTGGGAAAAAAACACGTAATTTCTCTTGCATGAAAACAAGAAGAATGAGAGAGCCATGCTTACAAATTCATAGACTATCTAGCCTATATTCTGATCTAGTCAGGATAGTATTCAACATAATAGTTAAAAGCTTTGGATGCAGAGTTAGACTGCCTGAGTTTGAATCCCAACTCACCACTGAGATCTAGAGTAAGATGCTTTTTAACCTCACTGTGTCACAGTTTTCCCATCTGCAATATCACAATAGTAACTGGACCTTTCTTACAGAATAATTTTGAGAAAAGATGTGCACAGTGATTGAAACAGTGTTTGACACTGTTACAGAAGAGATGAGAGGAAAGAAAAAAATATGTTCCCACACCCCCACCCCACCCATACTCACACACACCAGGAGTGACATTACAATAATTATGAATAATGTGTAAGATGTTGCTGAGCTCAGAGTCAATTCTAACTGTATGCTTATTTATTGAGATGTTTCACAGCATCAAAAATCATGTTTTTTATTGTAGTTGGCAAAGAAACCAAGTCTAGAAAGGATATAGAGACAAATCTGAATGGCCCTGCTAATTCACTTAGAAGGCCCAAGGAATGAGAAGCAGTAGCTATTAACTGTTTGGAGGTATTCCTCTCTAAGAGTTTCTGGAAGGCACAAGGAATACTCTGATTAATGTGTTTGAAATATCCTTTCAAAGCTTTGCTTATGCCCCTGTCATATTAATTATCTCTGTAAAGTAATTTTTCTTCCAGGGTCACTCTCCAGAAAAAAAATGAATAAATGTCATATTAGATTTTTCCATAGCTGAAGCCTGCAAACTGAAAACACTGGGAATCAAGAGGCTGGCTACCCTGAGATCAAGGCCAGCCTCATAGGTAAGCCAATTCGGTGGTACCTTCCTAATATGGATTTAAGTGGTAATTAGAATATTCAACTTGCCCCAGACTTCATCTAGCCAACTTCTAGAGAGCCTCTGATATTTCAACCTTGTCTTCCTACTATTTTTACTCACAAATTAATTTTGTTCACAAATTGAATTTGTCCATTCATTCATTCTGTTTTCAAACAATTATCATCTAACACACACACATACATACGTATGTAGAAACTATGAGGCCTGTGCAAGGCTTATAGAATCTAGAGATGAATAAAACATTGTCCCTGTCTTTCAGAAGCAAAGAACATTAGAACTTTTACAAGAAATGCGGATAACAAGTGTCTGTTTCACAGGGTGTTGTGATGATTAAATGAGATAATGAATATAAAGTCCTTTTGTAAGTCCTGGAATATGATCAATAACCATTTCTTGTTATTACTGTCATCACTACTCGGTAGAGCTATGAGAGGTCTCAGAGAACTTCTAGCCCAGTGGTTCTCAAACTTTTGTGTACCTCAGAATCACCTGGACAGATTGTTAAAATGCTGGGCCCCACCCCAAAATTTCTGATTCAATAAGTCTGTGCTGAGGCTTGAGAATTTGCATTTCTTTTTTTTTTAATACTTTAAGTTTTAGGGTACATGTGCACAACATGCAGGTTTGTTACATATGTATACATGTGCCATGTTGGTGTGCTGCACCCATTAACTCGTCATTTAGCATTAGGTATATCTCCTAATGCTATCCCTCCCCCCTCCCCCCACCCCAAAACAGGCCCCAGTGTGTGATGTTCCCCTTCCTGTGTCCATGTGTTCTCATTGTTCAAGTCCCACCTATGAGTGAGAACATGTGGTGTTTGGTTTTTTGTCCTTGCGATAGTTTGCTGAGAATGACGGTTTCCAGCTTCATCCATGTCCCTACGAAGGACATGAACTCATCATTTTTTATGGCTGCATAGTATTTCATGGTGTATATGTGCCACATTTTCTTAATCCAGTCTATCATTGTTGGACATTTGGGTTGGTTCCAAGTCTTTGCTATTGTGAATAGTGCCGCAATAAACATACATGTGCATGTGTCTTCATAGCAGCATGATTTATAATCCTTTGGGTATATACCCAGTAATGGGATGGCTGGGTCAAATGGTATTTCTAGTTCTAGATCCCTGAGGAATCGCCACACAGACTTCCACAATGGTTGAACTAGTTTACAGTCCCACCAACAGTATAAAAGTGTTCCTATTTCTCCACATCCACTCCAGCACCTGTTGTTTCCTGACTTTTTAATGATCGCCATTCTAACTGGTGTAAGATGGTATCTCACTGCGGTTTTGATTTGCATTTCTCTGATGGCCAGTGCTGATGATTTGCATTTCTAAGTTCCCAGTTGATGGTGATGATGCCAGTCTGAGACCACATTCTGGGAACCCTGTTATACTCCAGTCTCCTCATTTTACAAATAAGAAACTGAGGCTCAAGAGAGTTAAACTGATATGACTATAAACTTATCAATAATTTGCTCTTTTGACCCCACCAATCACTATTACTCTGCTGCCCCTCTGTGATAGCTGCATATCATATCAGATATGTTGATTTTCTTAACCTTCCAGAAAGCATAACGACAGGCATATAAGTGTTATATATTTTTGTACATGGATCGATTAGGGGAGAGGAGATGTCTCTGGACAGAGAGGCTCTAAAGGTGGTCATCCATGCATAAGGCTGTCAATCAGTTTGAAATCACTTGTATTATTTACCTATTGCTGTATGACCAATTCCCCCTAAACCTAGAAGCTCAGTACAACACACATCTCAGTTTCTGTGCAGCAAGAATCTAGGCATGGCTTAATTGAACACTCTGCTTTGGGATTTCTCACAAGGCTGCAATCAAGGTGTTGAGTAGGGCTGAAGTCCCATCTGAAGACTTGACTGAGAAAGATATGCTTCAAAGTTCACTTACATGGTTTTTGGCAGGATTCAGTTACTCAGGGCTCTTGGACTGAGGGCCTCGGTTTCTCACTAGTTATTAGCCAGAGGCCTTTCTCAGTTCCTTGACATGTGGGCTTCCCAATTGGATAGCTTGCTTCATCAAAATCAGGGAGGTCAAGGCAGAGAGAGTGCACTTGCAAGACAGAAATCACAATCTTTTGTAGCTTGTGTGTGAAGGTGGCATCTCATTAACTTTTTCATAGTCTATTGGTTTGAAGCCAGGCACTGGATTCAACTCACATTCAAAGCAAGATTACCCAAAAATATAAATACCAGGAGTGCAAATGAATGAGGCCCACATCAGACACTGCATGCCCACACTACTCATGTAAACTCAACTCCTCATTTCACAGATGAGGAAATTGAAGCTCAGAGATAGCAGGTGGCTTAAATAAGATCACACAGCCAGTCTACTTCCCTGACTAGAATTCTAATGCCCTTTCTATTACATCATTGCAAAATTCTCTCCATTTGATCTCTATTGCAGACATCACAAACAATCTATCAATTGAAAACAGAAGAACAAAACATGTTCTGATGGAATAAGAGCAAATAAGCTTATCATATCCAAACTCTAGTTTTAAAAAAATAAACCATTTGCTTAATCATCATTGTAATTAAGAACCCAAGAGACAAAAAAGCAATATAATAGTTCCAACAAACAATCATTTATTTGGTGCTCTGTTCAAATAACACAAAGATAAGCATTTTTCTTTTGGATCTCAACATACACTCCAGGAGGCAATTTTCCTACCTCTTTACCAGGAGAATGTACATTTCTTCTTGACCCAGTGAGGTTCTCTGTATATTTTCAAAACTAAATGTACCCTGTAAAAATATTTTATAGACCTCCTCAAGTAATATATATTTCCCAGACAGCTGAATAAAGCTAAATTATACACTTATTTCTCTTTCAGTACATATTTATTTAACACTGACTGTATATAAGGTATATGCCTGGCTCTAAGGAATCAGTGGTGAACAAGCCAGAAGGGGTTATTGTTGCAATGGTCTTTCAGATCTACTAGGGAAAACACACATGTTTTAAACATTACAGATAATTAATTAGTGTGTAAAGTGGCTTTGAAGGTAGAAGATAGAGTGTTATGGGAGAATATAACTGTGGGTCTTAACCTAATCTGGGGAGATAGAAAGGCGTGATAATTAAGCTGAAACTGTACAGGGCATAGAAATTTGCATATTCTGTTCCTTGTAAACAAACTTGGGAAACAAAAGCATTCCATACAAAGTCTCCAAAGTGAGGAAGTTTATTTTGATATGATTTTATAAGATCAGATTACAGATAAGATCATAGAAAATAGAGATAAAAATTACAGATCATCTTTACATATGACTGGGAACTAGCTATATAGTCATCATTGACTATATGCTGTTGCTGCAACAGTTTTAATGGATCCCTGGGTGTGTCAAACTTGGGAGTTTGGGCTAAAGTCATCACTGTAATCAAGAACCCAAGAGACAAAAATGCAAGGTATTAGTTAATAACAATATAATTTAACCCTTGACAAAGGGTATATCTCTGGAGAGCAGAGCTCATAGATCCCCCCTCTTCCTTACTTAAAGCAGGACGGATATCTTGTTATTCACTTTGAGACAATTTCCCAAATTTCCAAAATGAATCCAAGGTAGGGGTATGCCTTGTGAGTTGAGAAGGGATGGTATTCAGGACAGCTTAGTACTGTTTGTGGGGAACAGAAACTCCAAGAAGTATGGGGGCATAAGCAAACTTCCCAAGAAGGAGAGGTTTTAAAGATTAATCATTGGTAATTTTCATTAATGATGAATCATTAGTGATAAATCATTCATGAGCCCCTTCCCGACAACGATGGATGAAGGGCTGCATCAGAACAGAGAGTTCTGTGCAAAAGCCAGAATGCCAGCTACTCAAGAGAACTGGGCCCCAGGACTGTAACGTACCCCAGGAGAGTAACATATTTGCTGAATAGGAAATAAAGCTCTCCCAAAGGAAGCCACTTTTCAAAGCACTTTTTACAGTGCCATCTAGTGGAGATTAAAATTACTGCACAATTGTCCCACTGCTTGGGTTCTAGTCCTTGCTCTGATACCAACAGCTCAATCCAAATGCTGACTCTACCTCCAAAATTCCAGCATGCCTTTGTTCAGTGAGCAAAACCAAACTTTTTTTGTCATCACATTGACCTGTAAATCTCATTTAACTATAAAATGGAGAAAAACAAGAGCTACTGCCAAGGGTTGTTATGCAGATTAAAATAAATTACTTTTAAATGCTAGAGTGGGTGAACCTGGTTAATGGAGAATAGAGGCAGAAGAGGAGGAGAGAGAGTCTTAAAACAGTGAAGAGTAAAGACAGTAAATGGTAAATATGAGCTGGTCATGAGCTTCCTTAGCTGCCCTAATGTAACAGAGAGATGTCCTAGTGAAGTGGAGAGGATACAGGCTTTGGAACAAAGGTGGGTCTAAAGCTGGCTCCACTACTTAATAGTGTTTGACAATATAAAAAAGGCTTACTATCTCTGAATCTTTGTTCCTTCATCAATTAAAAAGAAGAAGGTGATGGCTACACCTACCGCATGTGGATATTGCCATTAGAAGATGCTTATGGATGCTAATCCCCTTCCTAACATCTGCATTAAACCCTCAGCTGGTTTTAGAGCTCAAACAATCAATTCTTTTCTATGAGACCTCTTGAATGAGGTCTTGACTCTTCCAAATCTTCCTAATCCCTCTCCCCCAACTTCTTATTCTGACTCTCCTCATCCTAATAAATCAACTGGTTCCAATCTGACTGCTAGTGACAAGTCAGAGAGCTCTGGCTAGTCCTTTCCCAGAAGTTGCTGGAAGGCTATTCATGCTTCTGCTTGCTCCTTACAGAAAATCTATAGTAGTTGTTCTTCCCATGGGTCACCCAACACAGAAAAGAAAGCTGCAGCCAGCTGCAGACTCTCAACCAGGAAGAGTTTGCTCAGCTGGTCCTTCTTTACCTACATTTCCCTGTTATTCTTCTCTCACCTTCAAAGTTTTTTGTTTTTCTTCACCAAGACATCAGTCTGTTGCCCTCACAGCATGACATGGCTTTTTGCCTCTCTATCCTATACATATATGTCAGTAATGCCCTGTAGCTGGGCGAACAATAAAGAAGGACAAGGTTTTACTTCAATGCTGAGAAAAATAAGTATATGTCCCCTATTTTTCTGTAAACACTCATTCTTTGTTGGAGAAAGTGTCATCATTTAAAAAAAAAAAAAAAAAAAGAGCCTTCCTTCCTCCCTCATACTGGTTTGGTCCTCTCAGAGGTAGAAATAATATTTTCCTCAGCAAAGGTGATTTTCTTTCCATGAGGCCTATAGACAACCAAATTGATTTTTCAGGCCAAAACCATTTTAACGTCTATTTATCTTCTCAGGATGATGTCCCTCAGCAAGTCATTTTGTCATCTCTTTGGTGTGGGTTTTTTGTAACAGAGAAGATTGTAGGCCATCATACTTAAAAATAAATAAATAAATTCTATCTTTCTTCTTTGCTGAAAGCACTATTCAACCCAGCCTTTAAAACAGAAAATTCTAGATATTAGATAAAACACTGACATCTATGTTAAGGACAAAGTAAAATGTTGAGGGTTTTTTTTGTTTGTTTGTTTGTTTTTACTCTTCAGATTGGTTTTCCCCATTAGTTCTTTAAAAAAATGACTTTATAGGTAAAATTTAGCAAAGGTGAGAGGGGGATGTTGCAAAAAAAAAAAAGCTATATTAAGGATTAAATTTTCACACTTATTTTTCTCCCCATTGGTATATTGAGGAAGAGTCTTGTGACATGAATTTTAGTTTTTCAGTATAAAAATCAGTGAATACCCTGGTTAAAAAAGAAACCACAAAAAGTCTCCCTTCACCATTACCTCCAGACACTCTCTCTATATACAGCTTTATGTATATAAATATATACAGAATTCAAATCCTATTATCTTGCTTTTTCTATATATTTTGGAAATATTTTTATTGCAAGACTTATAAATCTATTTTTAGCTAGTCAGATATCATGAATTTTTACGCATATATCATGATTTATTTACCCAGACCCTGGCTGACATTTTTTCAGAAATTTTAGCAAATAGCAATTAGCAATTAAGCTTCAAAGAACATCCTTTAAAATATATCTTTGTATTTTTGAATTGGTAAATCTGCATGATATATTTGAAGATTAAAATTGTTTTTTGAGGTCGACATAATGAGGAGGATGGGAAAGATAGTGCAAAGTGTTTCAGTTGAGAGGTTTGCAAGTTAAATTAACAGTAGATGCTGAGCCCCTAATATATCTAGCCCAATCTTTAAAGAAGACCAATAGAAATAAAATCCATAATGCAGTGTCTTCTTTGAGCAGGCAATAACTTGGACCCAAGTTGCAAACCATCTCCTTAGCTGCATGATATCTTTTGCTAAGGAGACAGTTTGCAACTTGAGTCCAAGTTAATTGCCTGCTCAAACAAGACAGAGAATTAGCTTAAGTCTCCATCAACAAATGAATGGATAAAGAAAAGGTGGTGATATGTACACAATGGAATACTACTCAGCCTTAAAAAAGAAGAAAATATTGTCATTTGTGACAACATGACTGAACTTGGAGGACATTATGTTAAGTGAAATAAATCAGGCACAGAAATACAAATACCACATAATCTCAATTATACTTAGAAACTAAAATAAAGTTGAACTCATAGAAGTAAAGAGCAGTATGGTGGTGTTACCAGGGCCTGGGAGGAAGGGGTGGCAGTAGCTAAAGTTGGGGAGATGTTGCTCAAAGGATGCAAACTTTCAGTTAGCTAGGAATAAATTCAAGAGATCTACTGTACAACATGGTGACTGTAGTTAATAACAGTGTATTGTATTATTCAAAATTGCCAAAAGAGTAGATTTTAAGAGTTCTCACCACATAAGTATGTGAAGTGACATATACATTAATTAGCTCAATGTATCCATTCCACAATGTACACATATTTTTAAGTACATAATATATACAATTTTTGTCAACTAAATAAATAAAATGTTAAAAAATTAAGTCCTGAAGACAGTAAAATAATACCTTTAAAGTGCAGAAGGAAAGAAAAGGAAAAGGAAAGGGAAAAGAAAGGAGGAAAGAAAAGGTCATCTCCAAATAATTGATAATTAATAGAATTTTTCACCAGCAGATATGCCCTACAAGAAATGATAAAGGTACTTCATCAGGCAGGAAGAAAATGATGCCAGATGGAATCTCAGAGTTTTAAAGAAGGAATGAAAAGCACCAGAAATGCTAAATATTTTGGCAAACATAAAAAGACTATTTTTCTTCTTTTTTTTACTGACACAGATGTACATTTTTGGGAGTACATATGATAATTTAATACGTTCATATAATGTATAAAGATCGAATCAGGGTAACTGGGATATCCATCACCTTAAATACTTGTCTTTCTTTTATGCTAGAAACATTCAAATCATTCTCATCTATTTTGAAATGCACAATAGATTATTGCTAATATAATCACTTTACTGATCAATTGAATACTGTCTTATTTTTTCTAACCACATCTTGTTTTTTTTTATTTTTTATTTTTATTTTTATTTTGAGATGGAGTCTCTCTCTGTCTCCCAGGCTGGAGTGCAGTGGTGCAATCTTGCCTCACTGCAACCTCTGCCTCCCAGGTTCAAGCTATTCTCCTGCCTCAGCCTCCTGAGTAGCTGGACTACAGGTGTGTGCCACCTCAACTGGCTAATTTTTGTATTTTCAGTAGAGACCGGGTTTTACCATGTTGGCCAGGCTGGTCTCGATCTCCTAATCTCAAGGAATTGTCTCACCTCCGCCTCCCAAAGTGCTGGGATTACAGGTGTGAGCCACTGCACCCAGCCTAACTGTATATTTGTACCCATTAATCCAGTGGTCCCCAACCTTTTTGGCACAAGGGACTGCTTTGATATAGGCCAATTTTCCATTTTTCCACAGATGGGGGTGGGGGAAGGGATGTGGATGGTTTCAAGATGAAACTGTTCCACCTCAGATTACCAGGCATTAGTCAGATTCTCAGAAGGAGCACACAACCTAGATCCCTCGCATGCACAGTTCATAACAGGATTTGTGCTCCTGTGAGAATTTACTGTCGCAGCTGATCTGACATGAGGTTGAGCTCAGGGGGTAATGCTCGCTCATCCACTCATCTCCTGCTGTGCCGCTGGGTTCCTAACAGACCAGTACTGGTCCAGGACTTGGGGGTTAGGGACCCCTGCATTAATCACCCTCTTTTCCCCTCCTCCCCACTACCTTCCTGGCCTCTGATAACTACCAATCTACTCCTATCTTTGTGATATCCGCTTGTTTAGCTCCCACATATGAGTGAGAACACACAATATTTGTCTTTCTGTGCTTGACTTATTTCAATTAACATAATAACCTTCAACTCCATCCATGTTGCTGCAAATGACAGCATTTTATTACTTTTATGGCTGAATAATATTCTATTGTATAAAGATGCCACATTTTATTTATCCATTCATCTTCTGATGGACTCTTAGGTTGATTCCATATCTTGATTATGGTGAATAGTGGTAAAATAAACAGAAGAGTGCAGATAGCTCTTCGATATATTGATTTCCACTGTACTGGATAGATACCCAGTGGTAGAATTGCTGGATCATATGGTAGTTCTACTTGTTGTTTTTCGGGGAACTTCTGTATTGTTTTCCATAGTAGTTGTACTAATTTACATTCCTAACAACAGTGTGTGTGTTCCTAAGTAGAATGGTTGGAAGAAGTATTCATGCTAGAAGGCTCTGAATAACAATACTACTAATACAGAGGATACCAACCATAAAGTACTATAGGGCCAAGCAGGTGAAAATAATTCAGTGAAATAGCTCACATCCAAAAACAAAAAGAATTAAGGACCAGGGTAAATTGGAAGCATATGCCCCTTCTAAACAAGTACTGCTCAGCTATCACTGATGGCTTTCACACAGAAATGTAGCGCCATATTGCTGAGTCTCTGAATTTTTCAAGATCTCAGTTGTGACCTAATTACTTAGTTTTCAAAACACTCTGTGCCCCAAACAGATAATAACTGAGTGCTAAAGGCAGCCAGTGAACTGTCCATTTGTGACCCTTTTTCTAATATTTTTAGTACTCTCAGCTTGTCTTGGCAGAGAGGTCTTCTCAACAAATGTATGGCAAAAGCCACCCCAACCCGAGCTTTATTCTTAGCCTTTTAGAACCCAAGACTTGTGATTTCCATTGGTGCAGATACCTTGCAAATTCTTTCAGAAAAGAATGAATGACAAAAAGTGTGTCCAAATAGAATTCTACAAACTTACATTTTTCTTTTAAGATCTCTCATAGGTCTAGTTGGAGAAGGTCGAGTATTAAGAAATGATTCAGTGGGTAGTTAGCAGGGATGATTTCTGTGGCTGCATTGACATTATCATTGAAAAGCCTGGTAAGTCTTTCTAACCAATCTCATCCACATCTTAGCTCAGCCATCTGGGTCTCCCTTTCAGGATGCCCATTTGCTTGAGAGTAATGAATATCATGGTAATGACTTTCTCTGATAAACCAAATCAAAGCTAGATCATGCATTTTGGTCACATCCCAAGAATATATAGTACATTTGACAGGTTACCTACTATTCCTGCAGGCCTATCTTCCAGCTAAGTAATTGGATCACAGAATATTTGGGCCACAAGAATAGCATTTTCTAAAATGTTATATGGAATTCTAGACCCATGATGCTCTGTAGAAAAATGGAAGGACATTTTCTATTCATCTATTTTCAGGAAATATGGCAAGATATACTCTATATATACACACACATGTACAACACACAAACACATACAACTTCAACACCCCCATTTTAGAAATTTCTCAATGAAACTGAATTAAAAGGTATAAGGAGTTATAACACAGAATTTTGTGAACTTTGATTCAGTGTTTTCCAAATTTGTATAAACAAAAATACTTATTCATATATCTGCAGAAAATGCTTTTGAAATTATTGATTGGAACCAATAATATGATTTCCCCACAAATGTCAAGCTACATTTTATGGAAATAACATATATTGTGATTTATGTTAAAATATATTTTGAACAAGTTGATGTTTCTTCATTTTCCCTATTAAATATTCCCCAATTTAACATACAGTTCAATGTGAAACTCTGCAATATCATCATTCAACCAATTTATATAACATTTCATGTGTTACAGAGCATTTTCACAAATATTCCTTAATTTGACCCTTGCCACAAACCTCTCAGGCAAATATCTCCTTGTGTTTTGTTTGCTTATTTCAAAAAAACTGGGGAAACAAATGACTTGCCTAAAGTTACTCCGTGAATAAAGGTGAGATTGCAATTCTGCTGGCTCCTGGCACATTGATGCTTCAAAACTCTCACTAAGCTCTATAATATCACATGGCTCAGAGATGCTACATCCAGTATTGCTCTTCCAAACTTATGCATGAGCATGTAGTAATAAGAATGGCCTATATGGATAATAACAGGAATCAAACGTACTGGCTCATGCTTAGAAAAGAGGCCATTAGAAATTTGTGATGAGTATAAATTAGAAAGGCAAAGCAACATAACTCATTGTAGAGGTCCTTGACTCATATATAAGGAGCAAAGCTATTCATTGGTTTAAACATTTGTACTTGAAAATTACTGTGGTGGACAGGTTAGGAATATGAATAAGATATATTCCCTATCTTCAAGTAACTGGATAAGAAAAGTAGCCAACAGCTTTAAGACAAGGTGCATTATCTTAATCTCCCAAAGGAAATAGTCAAAGGAAAGAGAAAATGAGGCAGCTTGAGCAAGAAGGCTGAGAACTGATGGGAAAAATCATGAGTTTCAAATCTGGAGATGACTAGTGACCTTGGAGAGAGCAGGTATAGTAAAATGTTTGCCGTGGAAGTTGGCCACAAAGAGCTACTACATAACTATATACACCTAAGAACATGCACCTTGTTAGAAAGAAGGCTCAGTGTCCTAAGGAGAAATGGGCACTTAGATAAAGGATTTTTTGTAAAGCAAATTTACTTTTGTGCAGAAGGGTGTCTCCCATATGGCTGGTTGCTACTAGAGTACTTAGAACAAAGGAGAGTAGAAGTTTTTATTTTTAACGTGACTTTTGCCTTTGTGTCTTTTCCCCAGTGGTGGGGTTGGACTGTATAATTTAAACTAGACTTGACTGGCTAAACATTTAAGCTTTTTTAAATAAGGTAGACGTGTAATGGGAGAGAGGGGAAAGGAGGAAGGGGTCATCTGCAGCAAACTAGAGAGTCAGTCTATTTTTAAATAAGGAAAGGAATGTGAGCTGCTGTTGATAACGTCACTGTTGCTGTGGTATGCCTGGGCACGTAGTAAAGTCAGAAAGCAGTAAAGGAGAAGAAAGGTGGGGCAGTATTGGGAATTATGGGAATTAAAGAATAAAAGGTTGAGCAGGCTGTTTGAAGAGACATCTTGCTACATCTCACATACCTCCACTCAAACCCAAGTTTGCTTATTTATTTATTTATTTATTTTGAGACAGAATCTTGCTCTGTCACCCTGGCTGGAGAGCAGCAGCATGATCACAGCTCACTGCAGCCTCAACCTCTCAGGCTTAAGTGATCCCCCCACTTCAACCTCCCTACTAACTGGGACTACAGACACATGCCACCATGCCCAGCTAATTTTTTTTTTTTTGTATATTTTGTAGAGACAGGGTTTCACCATGTTGCCCAAGCTAATCTCGAACTCCTAAGCTCACGTGATCTGCCCACTTCAGCCTCCCAAAGTGCTGGGAGCCACTGCGCCTGGCATGAGCCACTATGCCTGGCTCCAACCCAAGTTTAGAATTTATTGTCATTTGGTCAGGAATCACTTAGTTTAGAAAAACCTCATGAACTACAACATTGCAATGTGTTAAATATGCTTGCATACCTTCCTTCTTTTCAACCTTACAGAGAGTAGTTAAATGCTCTATTCTTCCACATGCACATATCTTTGTTTCTGCTGCCTTTGAGCAGGAATTGAAGGATGCTCAGCTTGAGCAGCTTTTCCATAAGACATAGGGGTTTCCTGTAGCTGAACACAAAGGGCATTTACTCAGGCCAGTTCCATGTGTTAACCAGGCCAGGCTGAATGGAAGTCCCATAGCTCCTTAGCTGCAGGTATTCTCTATCTGGACTGACAGCTGGAAGAACGTATAGCTCTCGTGCTCTGGGATTTAGGGAGCTTCAAGCGCAGCCCTGAGGGAACCAGGGAAGACTGTAAACCCAGTTCTCTCTGCATCTATTCTTTGTCTTTGAGCCTGGCTCCCTGCTGGCCTTACATGTCCTCTCCAAGGGAAGTGACAACAATAGCAGCAACAGACTCTGTTTTCTGTACACTGGACATGGCTTGAATGTCTTATGAATTAATGTTCACCCAACCTCCATTAACTTTTCATTGGCTTCTTGAGATGGTCTATCTATTTCTGTCTAGTCCATTCCTACTCATCCTTTATAGTCCTTCTCAAATTACTCTTTCTATTTTGGAAAGATTTTCTGATTATTACAAGCCCACAAACAAACCTTCTCAGGGTACCACATTTCATTACCCAATGTTGTGATTATTTTCCAAATATTTTAGGCATGACCTTTGTCTTGTCATTAAAACCTAAGCTCCCTGAAAACAGTGGGTACAACCATGTACTGAAAGGTTTACATGCCAAGAATTGTACCAAGTTCTCATAACTGCCTTTGTGAGTGAATTATTCTGTTTTATATATGCTGAACCTGAAGTTCTGAGGCTCCCTATTTCACAAAGCAAGAAAATCACAGAGCCAGTACTTAAGGCAAGCTCGCTCTGGTTGCAAAACCCTTGCTCCATCACAGTGCTACACTGCCTTTTGTATTGGAAGTTATAGACCACGTTGTATGTGCTAATGCTTTGTGTTTCCTATGAGTTAGATATACCACCCCATTTCTGCGTGGGTTAGGGTGTGAAAATACTTTGTCAAGCAAAAAAGTGGAGTATCATCTGCTGAGCCCTGAAGGAGACATAGCAGCAAAAGACCCTGTGGAAAATAAAGCCATATAACATAACAGTCTGATCAATAAGGACAAAGGTTCTATATGGTAATGAAATTAGAGACTATATGAATGATAGGCACTTCTTTGCTCTGTGCCATCTCCTCAGTTTCAAAGAGTAGTGAATAGATGTGGCATATTTCAAACACTTCGAAGTTAGTGGTATCAATAAAAATTAGGGATGGCTAAAACATTTCTATTATTTCTAGAACTTAAGCTATCTTCACATGCAATTTCTTATTTTTATGATGTTTTATTATCTATTATATATGAAAAGTACCATTCAGCAAAGGAGATGGCATGTAGTCTTTGCCCTTAGAGAGGACATTGGGTAATGGCGGAGATATTTTAGGAAACATTTGCAATGGAGTATGATGAGTATGTCAAACATGTAATAAAATACAGTCATTAAAATGAAGAAAAAAGGAATCACCTCTCTTTAAATGAGCCAAAGGAGGCTTTTGGTGGTGTTCCATAAGTTGAGCTTTAAACAATTAAAGGGCTACCAGAATTTTCCAAGAATATTCAAAACAGAAGAAACGAAACAGGAAAGTCACCAGGACATAGAAAATCAGGGCATTCCTAGAGACATCTAAGTGGTCCCTTTCCTGTTGAATAAATACAAAAGGCCTGACATACAATAGTGAGGAATGAGGCAGAGATGTAGGTTAGGTCAAGCTGTCTACCATAAAGCTCCTAGGAAATATTTCTTAACCTGACTTGGAAAAATCCACTGAAGAACTTAAAAAAAAATGTGTGTTTGTTACTATAGCAAGCTTTCAAGAGAGGATATAAATTGAAAAAGCTCAGGTAGAAACACAGATTGTTCAATTAGATGTACTTAGGAAAAACGCAAGTTCAGCAGTTTTTGGAACACGGGAATATGTGCATATTTAGGTGGGATAACACGAAGAACTGCAAGAGCTGAAGATGCCACAGCCTTGGGATACAAACACTGACTCTAGAGGGTCAGGGGAGGGAGCTGAGCTTTGACTTTGCTGTTACTGGCTACAGCTACAACCAAGCAGCTGAATGCTGTTCATCATAAGTTCTTGCATTAATTTTCGCGTATTTATTAAGCCATGTGCCAGACCTTGTTTTAGGTTCTGGGAATACAATAGTGATCAGAAAAATTTCCCTGCCTCATGCATGGAACCCTCACTCTAGTAGGAAGAAAAAAAATAATACATATATAAGCAAGAATATAAGAAGATAAGTACCATGGAACAAAATCAAAAGAAATAATGGAGCGCAATGAAGAAAAATAAGTGCCATGGAGAAAAATAAAACATGGAAGGGGACTAGGAGTGGAAGTGAGTGAAATACAATTTACATAAAATGTTCAGGAAAGCCTTCTCCGATAAGATGGTGTTTGCATGGAGACCTACAGGAACTAAAAGAATGAGGTCAGGCATGGTGGCTCATGCCTGTAATTCCAACACTTCCTTCAATACATGCAGGCAAGATTGTTTGAGCCCAGGAGTTCAATACCAACCTGGGCAATATAGCAAGACCTCATCTCTATAGAAAACTTTAAAAAATAGCCAAGCGTGGTGGTGCATGCCTGCAGTCCCAGCTACTTGGAAAGCTGAAGTGAGCAGATAATTTCAGCCTGGGACGTGGAGGCTGCAGTGAGCTGTGATTGCATCATGGCACTCGAGCCTGAGTGATGGAGCAAGACTCTGTCTCAAAAAAAAAAAAAAAAAAAAGAATGAGCTGTGAAGCTATCTGGAGAAAGAACCTCATGTTTCATGTGTCTGAGAATCAGTTAGGAGGTCTGTGTGGCCCAGAAGGATGGGTGAAGAGGACAAGTGGTAAAGATGAGATCAAGAGGTGTTAAGACCAATGCAGATAGGACCTCAGAGGACAGGTGACCATACAGCCTGGTTTACCTGCCTCAGAACCTTCCCACTTACTGGGTTCTCCACCTACAGAGTTCATACCCCTGTCTTTCCATGGTAGCTCTGTCCATTTTCACACTGGTATAAAGAAGTACCCAAGACTGGGTGATTTATAAAGGAAAGAAGTTTAATTGGCCCACAGTTCCACATGGCTGGGGAGGCCTCAGGAAACTTACAATCATGGCTGAAGGTGAAGGGAAAGCAAGCACCTTCGTGCTGCCGACCTTAGTTGGCAGGAAAGAGAAGCACAAAGGAGGAACTTCCAAACACTAATTAATATGACAGATCTCGTGCAAACTCACTTACTGTTACAAGAATAGCATGGGGGAAACCATCTTCAAGATCCAATCACTTCTTTCCCTCAACACATGGGAATTACAAGTCCCTCCCTCAACACATGGGGACTACAGTTCAAGATGAGATTTAGGTGGGCACATAGAGCTAAACCATATCAAGCTCCTTCTTATCACTGAGGTATCAACTCAAGTGTCATCTGCTTAGGTGCCTCTCCTGACTGCTAAATCTAAAGTGCACCCTCCCCTTCCATAGCTCTCTGCCGTATTATTCAGTTTTATTTATAAAAATAAGAGATACCATGATAAGAGGTACCTGAAATAAACCAACATGTTTCTTGTCTGTCTCCCCTAACTACAGTGTAAATGCCAGTAAGTAGTGATCTTATCTGTCTTGCTTTCAGCTGTATGCCAGCCCCTAGATTAGTGCTCAGCACAGAAATGATACTCAATACATATTTGGTGAATAAAAGTATGAGTTGCATTTCTTCCAGCCTTTGTCCATCATCCTCAGAATAGGGCATCCTCACCTCACTCCTGCATTCCTTTAATATCTGCCTTAGCTGGCTTCCCTAACTCCAGTGCCTTGTTCTCCTGAGGAGCTTGATCACCACTTTTACCACATCACAATTCAGCAATTCTGTATCAGCCTATAATAACACCCTATTTCCAATCACAACAATTTTTTAGAATGTTTGGCATATCCCGACTTACTGTTCTTGTCCAACTCTACTTCTTCCTATTCCTACACAGACCCTTTCCTCTATGTAGGTCAGCATCTTTAGTCTCCTCCCAACTGCCACACTCATTACCTTCTCTACACTTAAGTGTCTATGGTGCTGTTTCCCAAGACTCTTCTCCGCTTGCTCAAATTGAACCCATCCTTCAAAGCCCAGGTCACGCCATCTCTTCTTTTGGGCTACTCCAAGCACTGCTGATGTCCCTTTACCATATAACTTAGCACAAGGATTGGAGCTCAGTTTTATAACATTTGTTAGTGTTTGCTTGGAATGTGGTGTTGAGAAAGATTCTAAGTCTCAGAGGGGAAAAGAATGTCATGATTGATTAGCAATGTCTGCCAGTAGGCCTACGGGGACAGAGAGACACTTACTTAGCTATTACTAATGGGTTTCTGGGCATCAGTCCATATAATCTCTTGTGAGTGTGGCAAATATGTTACATTATTTCCATCACCCAGTCTTTTCTTAGTACAGAGACATGGAATGACTTGAATCCTGAAGTTAGGAAAAGTTCTGAATAACTCCTCCAACCCCCTCCTAACTTCAAGTCAGAGCGCAACTGCACTGTCTTACCTGGCTTTATTTATGCACTTTTCAACTCCCTTCTCCCTGACAAAGGGAGAAATAGTTCTAGGTACCAGTTGTTGATTGCTCACTTTTTTTTACTCCCAAGCCTGCACTGCAAAAATATCCATTCCAGCTCTACTAGCAATTGCATTTGCCCCTTTCATACTCCAATACAGACATTCATTTTTGTCTAGTCGTTACCAAAATTGTCATCTAAATGGTAAATTTCCTGAGACTGAAGTATGTCTCTACATCCCACCCCAACTACAACACTTCGTACCCAGGATGCAACAGATCAAAGTAGTTGCTTACTATGGGTTGAACAAAAAGGAGAGGCACACTACTTTCTTAGGATTCTACATCTTATGAAGCATTTTCTCACGGCACAAAGGGGAGAAGATTCTGGAATATTCCACCACTCATAATTAACTAAACTTGCCATGTTTACAAAAGTCCTCCCCCATACACACACACTTTTAATAGGATGTCATTCAGATTTCTACTTTTTTATTTTTTTATTATTTATTTATTTATTTATTTTGAGACAGAATCTTGCTCTATAGCCCAGGCTGGAGTGCAGTGGCATGATCTCAGCTCATTGCAAGCTCCGCCTCCTGGATTCACACCATTCTCCTGCCTCAGCCTCCCGAGTAGCTGGGACTACAGGTGCCCGCCACCACGCCCGGCTAATTTTTTTGTATTTTTTTTTAGTAGAGATGGGGTTTCACCATGTTAGCCAGAATGGTCTCGATCTCCTGACCTCGTGATCCACCTGCCTTGGCCTCCCAAAGTGCTGGGATTACAGACTTGAGCCACCGCACCTGGCCCAGATTTCTAATAGCAACAATCACTTTAGTCTGAAGATTTTGTTAGAGTTAAAAGCCAGAAAAATAAATATTTGTCAAAGCAAGAAAATATCAGGAAATTTCCACATACCATTAGTTGACAATTCAGTTAGACCTGAGGCTCTTTATCCACCTGATTTTCTTTTTTCTTTTTAATCTGAAAAAAACGCAATATCCCAGTTTAACTTCATAACCTGGCTTTAATCCTGGACACTCACTTATCTCCCTGGATTCTAGCTCCCTCAGCTGTCAATGCAGGCAGTAGGGAGAGAGATACATTTACTGTTTCTTCCAGCTTTAAAGTTCATGATCCATCATCTAAATTGATATTTTAAGTATTGAATCCGCAAAATGAAATTATTTCAATTAATATTTAATACAGAAAGTATTTTGTGATGAAGGGCCTAGCTTGGATATTAAACATTTGGAGGAAGCATTTGGCTATTTTAGAGCCTGTAGTTTAATCAGCCTACCTACCTACACTTTTGGAAAACAGTCTATAACTACAGAATTAGGGAGATTGAATTTGATCACAATTCCAACTGCCACTTATAGTCTTTGCCAGAGCAAAGTGGCTTTTTACAATTTCGCTGTCTTCTCATTCCAAATGCAGTTTCAAAACCGGCAACGTCAGAGCTGCCACTGCAGTTGGAGATTTTTTTTATCAAATGAGCCAACCTTAAGTGTCCCCTCAGTCCCTCACTTCTTCATTTGCTCATTTAATTATTCTTACTTTCTGCCTCTGCCTTCTTCAGGTGCTTGTAATCAAAAAAGCCTGTATGGTTGCCCTGTTCTCTACCCAAATATTTCTCTATGTAATATACTTTCCTGAGCACTCAGGGCTCATGACCTCTTCCTATTGTAACAAGATGGCTTCCTTAATTGAAAGAAGTCTGGGATTCTCCAGCTTTCTCTTTTGAAAGATAAGCCAATCATATTACATTTTCATGAATGCATCACATCTTTGTCCTCTTGCAGTTTCCTCTGCCTGAAACAACACGTCTCCAACTGTTGGCATAGCTAAATTCTTATCTCTCACATTGCAACCCACATATTCCTATCTCCATGAGGCCTTTGCTGATCCCCACCTCTCCAACAACTGCCATACTCTATTATCTTCTTACATATTTCCAAAATAACTTTAACAATTACATCATGCTTGAAATCAGTTTTCAATATCTGTAATAAATCCTAGACTATAACTGTACAAGATCGGGGACTATGTATATCTTATTTATCAGCTCATCATGATCCAGAGAATCTAGAACTATGCCTGCTGCCAAGGGGTCCTCAGTAAATATAATATAAATGAATAAATGGAAGGTAGAAACGAGAGATAGAGAGGGGAAGAGATAGAGAATGGGTGGGTCTGACACCGTCTTAAGGTGTTACCTTCCCCTTGAGTTCTCTGGCTTTGATCACTCCTGCTATCACCAGCCACCATGATACTCCTAGAAATGGGAGGCAGGATGCTTTTGTGTGGAAAGACCACGGTTTAAATCCAAGTTCTTCCACTTACTAACTCTAGGATTTGAGCAAGTTACCTAGCCTGGCTAAACCTGATTCTTTATTTAGAATATACTTTGCAGGGTTGCTGTGAGGATAAAATGAGATCATGTCTAAAAAAGTACATGATGGTTGCTCAATAAATATTAATTACTTTCCATCTCCACTCTCCCCCACCTCCCACCCTAAGTGTGCTGCTATTCCTTTAACACTTTGGCTCAAGTGTGGACAAAAACATCTTCTCTTGGAACCACATCTGACACAGACTGGCACTTTACTAATTGCTAAGAGAAAAACAAAATATAATTAAATATAGAGAGCAGTGGCAGTATAAAAGCAGTATGGCTTCCTCCTGATAGAGTTTAGCTTCCAGTATAGCTACTATTTTTTCAGATTCAAAGGCCCTGCTGTATTCTAAATGAGATCCTAAAGGGAAAGAGATCCTATGGGGCAAACTATTTTCTTTCATTCACCTGTTCATTTATTCAGTAACTATTGTTTGCGTCCTAATTATCAGGGAATTAGTGCAGACCCCTAGTTTGTATAACATGTAGCATCTTAGACAGAAGGAAAAAAAACATCAGTCCAGAGACTGAAAAAAAACCATGCAGGAAAATGAGGGTAAAATTGTGTTCCTCACAGTAGGAAGGTAACGTTACCAGATCTTAGGGAGGCAAAAAAAAGCAAGAAACTCAGCTAAATTTGAAAAATAGCTAATTGCTGTATTTTTCTATAAAAGCTGAAATAAGGACATTTAAATATCCTGACAAAATCATTGTAAGATACAAGTCAAAATCATTACATACAGGACATGTCCAGTATACACAGAATACCTGGTTAACCTACCCCAAGAGGCAGAGCCCACAATTAAAGGCTAAGTTGTACACTTAACATGAGGTTTGAGAAGAGCCTTTGATCAAGCGAGGAGACTTCAATCATTGCCAGACATACCATATGCAGAGGGTGCCAAGGCTAGACTAGACAGAGGAGGACTGGGGAGAGCTGAGGATGGTAGGGAAGGGTGGTCCCAGGAGCTGGCAGGACCAAAACAGATTATAAGCCAGATGCAAAGAGAAGAAGAAACCCGCAAGACCAAGAAGGGGGTCAGAGAGCAGCTACCTGTGCAAAACCCGCAAGACCAAGAAGGGGGTCAGAGAGCAGCTACTTGTGCAAAAAGGTGCTATCAAACTACTTAGCAGCTGGTAAGCAGACACCAAGCAACTAGAATGGATACAGTCCTGGAGGCCCTTTGCCATGACAAGGAATAATTCTTAAGTTGCTGGACCTTGAAAAGGTTGAGGAGATCCTGGAGAGGGTCTGTGGTGGCCAGGGTGCACATGCATGGGGTCATTTAAGGAGCTAAGGGCAGAAATATAATATTTTCCCCTGGAAAATATGTATTTCAGTATTTTTAAAACAAGCATAGCAATTTTATCGTGTACCAGAAAATATGAGACCTGCCCCAGTCAGTTCTCAGAAGGGACAATCTACCCTCAAGGCTCAGAAACTGGCTCTGGCACTTATTCTGAGCCCTGCTGATTGTAGCCTGGAGTTTCTAACTGTTAAGCATTTGTGGAGGGTACTTGAGCTGACTTTCTAAAGGGCATCTAGTATCTTTTGCGGTTAGGGGAGAGGCTGGGTAGAAGCCAGAAAAATATACATTAAGCCTCTCTCACTTATCTCACATCTACCTTTCCATTTGGCAAGGATAAAATCAACATCTCCTCTCTTGGACTAAAAACTCCAAGAGGAAAGATACTGAGGCAAGTAAACATAACTATAATATCAGGTATAATATGGAAAACAGCATCACACAGGAAGAGTTTAAGTAATATTGGTGGTCATCTGTTTATTCAACATGCATTTGTTTTTAACATCCACCCTGTGACAGGCATTGTGCTTTGCCATGGGATAATAATTTAAAAAATATAATGCTAGCTCTCACTTAGTGAATGCTTCATTTGTACAATTCTATGCTGTGTACTTTATACACATGTCCTCCATTAATCTTTAAAACTTCTCTGCAAGAGTGTATCATTATGCCCATTTTACAGATGAGCTAGCTGAAATTCAGATAGTTTAAGTAACTGCCACAAAATGAACTGCTGGTAAGTGACAGAGTCAGGACTTGAACCCAGGTGTGTCTGACTACAAAAAAAAAAAATCTGTCTTAAAAGAACCTACCTTATAACAAAGGAGAAAAACTCATAAAGAAACAATAATAGTGTAGAGGGATGAGGGTTCTGATAGAGGGAAGTGCAGTGTACACAGGCGCCAAAAAGTGAGCATCTGGTCCAGTCTGGGGGTATCAAGAACAGTTTCTCAATACACCCTCAGAGAAGGTGACATTTGATCCGGTCCTTAGTCCCAGATGATTCTCAAATCATTCCAAAATAAATGGCAGCAACTATACACACTGACTAATTTCTTTAGATATACCAGAGGCAAAGCACTTAAGAAATGATTACATCATTGGAGAATTTCAACAAATTGACAACAAGACAGGGTAATAGGAAAAATATAAATCTCGATAAACAACTTAAAAGTGTAATGGGGCACATGGTGAGTCTCCCAATTATTATCATATATCCTGTCAGGGTGATTGATGCTACGGAACATAATTCTGCTGAAATACTATCTGTCTTGTCAAAAAGACAAGTTGTAGCTGCCATTGGGTAGCTGTGTGATGCCTGGCATCCCAAAGGAAAGAGAGTAGGTGCTAATTTGTAGGAATGGTAAGAATGGCATAAGCTTCTGAGAAATAAATAGTTACTAAATGAAGGACTCACCTTAGAACACTGCTTTGGGGTTCTGAGTGTTTATCCATCCAGCAGAAGAAGATAACCCTAAAAATAGATGGTGGAAGTGGTCAACTGTTTTCAGTAACTGCTTGGTGAAAGGACAGCAGAGCAGAGCAGTATGAGCACCAGGCAAAGTCTCAAAGACTGAACTTCTCATTCCAGATCTCCTACTAGATGGCACTGTGATCTTGGGCAATTGCCTTAACCTTCTGGATCTGTTCCTCCTCTCTAAAAAGAATCCAGTACCAGGGCTTCATTATCTGTAATATTCTTTCTATCTCTAAACTATAAGCTATTCAAGAGGCAGCATTCAGAATTAGTATTAGAAGAATCATTTACCTAAGAAAGAAACTAGGAAAACCCTTTGTTCTTTGCCTTGAGGTGGTCCATTTAGAGTAATAATTCCCTTTAGAAGACTATGTTTCATGACAAAGAATTGATTTTTTACCCTTTTCTCACAAACCAGAAAAGATTAATCAAGGCAAATGGCATCTTCTAGACTTTCCACCCGATTCCACATCCTTCAGTACTAAATGAAATTATGTAAATAATTTCACCACAGAACCTGGCTCTTAGTGGCTGCTCAATAAATATTATTTATTCCTGCTTTCTCTAAGGGTGTTGGGTATCTAATATTTACTGCATTGTTGAACTTGTCCATTTGAAGTAGATATTCTTTAGTCTCTGGTTAAAATTATAACTAGAGATACAGGGAATTTGTTCCTTACCAGAGATCTCCACTCAGCTAAAGAGATCTACTTTGCCAGTGACTCTTAGGTTGGCCAACATTGGCTTCCTACAAGACCCTCCAAAATTTCACTCCACATCTCTTTCTGAGTTCCAAAAATTTTGAGAAATAGAACCAAGAGTAAATCAGAAGTATTAAACATACCAAAAAGCATAAAATACGATCTATAAATAGAAGAAATGAAGAGAGGATAAAGGAAGCAGTTAAAGACTTTAAAAGTTATAAATATCAAAAAATTAAGGGAAAAAATAAACATAATAAGGAAATAAATGCGCTATATAAAAAAACACATGGAACTTTTAGAACTGCAAAATACACTTCTACAATGACAATTTTATTGGATGGGCTTATGATCAGATTAGATGTTGCATAAAAAGGGATCAGTAAATTTGAAACATAGCAATAGCAAAAAGCCAAACTATAGAGCAAAGAAGAAAAAAAAATTTTTAAAGCCATGGACTCAGTGACCTAGGGAACAATAGGAAGCTATCTACGACACATAAGTTGCATCTCTGAAGGGAGAAGGAGGAAGAAGTGTGGAAAAATAGGCAGAAAAAAAAAGTTTTGGGTAATAATACCTGAAATTTTTTCTAATTTGATAAACTATAAACCTATATATTAAAGAAACTCACTGAAACCCATGAAGGATATACCCCAAGAAAACCACACCAAGGTATGTCATAAATTAGCATAAGTTCAGCAAAGCCTACTGCAAATTAGTGATAAAGACATAATCTTAAAAGCAGTCAGAGGAAAAAAGACACATTATATTGAGAAGGAGAAAATATATAAGACTACAGTATTCTCTTCAGAACAATGGAAACAAAGAAGATAAAGTGCTGAAATAAAACAACCAATGAACAAATAATAAACTTGCTAACCTAAAATTCTATAACCAGCAAAAGAATCCTTCAAAAATTGAGTTAGGACTTTTTTTCAAAAAATTCTACTTTTGTTTTAGATTCAGAGGGTACATGTACAGGTTTATTATGTGGGTATACTGCATGATGCTGAGTTTGGGGGTATGTGGTATTATGATTATACACTGGTTTTCGTCCATGGTTTCCAGCTCATAACTCTCATAGCCCTTTTTACAATCTTTTATTATAAGTTTGGGTATGTTAAGTCTCAGGGGCAGGCCTCTGATCTGCCCTCCCTTCACCTGCCCCAAAGCAGGACTCTAACGTTCCTCTGCCTTTCTGATTGTGGATCTTAAGACCTTCTCATGAGAAGGTCCCATCCTACAGCCTGAGGAAAGAAATGCTTCCATAAAAACCCAAGAGGACAGGGTTCAGTGAGATTCTGGATAGCTGAACACATGGATGTTCCTGGAGGGTGGCACACCTAGGGAGGACATGGAAGCTCCACGCCCCTTCTTCCATACCTCACCTTATGCGTCTCTTTATTTGTGTCCTTTGCAATATCCTTTATGATAAACAGGTAAATGTCAGTGTTTCCTTGAGTTTTGTGAGCTGCTCCAGCAAATTAATTGAACCCAAAGAGGGAGCACCCCAACTTGAAGCCAGTCAGGCAGAAGTTCTAGAGACTTGTGACAGGGGTGCTGGGACAGAGGGATAGTCTTGGGGACTGAGCCCTCCACCTATGGGATCTGACACCATCTCTGGGTAGATAGTGTCAGAACTGAATTACAGGACACCCAGCTGGTGCCTGCTGTTTGGTGTGTGGGGAAAAATCCCGACACATGTGGTCACAGAAGTCTTCTATGTTGATGATTCTTATGGTATGGGAGTACAGGAAGAACACAGGTAGAGAGAGTTTTTCTCTAAACAGGGTACAATTGATCCCATCACCCAAGGAGTGAGAATAGTACACAGGTAGTTTTTCAACCTTTGCCTCCCTTCCTTTCTCCTCCATCTATTTGTCCCCAGTGTCTACTGTTCCCAACTTTATGGAGTTAGGTTATTTTTAATAAAGTTAAGGTTGAGAGAATGTATTGTTAGAAAATGTGCATGTCAAAGAATTTGAAAGGATGTTTATTAGGAACACAATATTATCATTATTTTATATCAGTAGGGAAATGACATAATGTGTTAAAAATGTAAATATATGGGTAAATAGAAATGATTTTTCTACATGTTTTATTTTAAAAATATATAATTGACTATTTAGAACAACGATAATAATGTAATGGGGGATTAGGACAATGTAGACGTAAAATAAATGACAATAACACAAAGATGGGGATGGAGAAAAATGGAAGTATACTGTGATAACAGTGGTCCCCAACCATTTTAGTACCAGGGACTGGTTTCATGGAAGACAATTTTTCCACAGACTGGGTAGTGGGGTGGGGGTGAAGGGCAGGATGGTTTGGGGATGATTCAAGTACATTTATTGTGCATTTTATTTCTATTATTATTACACTGTAATGTATAACGAAATTACAAATCATCATAATATAGAATCAGTGGGAGCCCTGTGCTTGTTTTCCTACAACTAGGCAGTCCCATGTGGGGGTAATGGGAGACAGTGACAGATCATCAGGCATTAGATTCTCATAAGGAGCATGCAACCTACATCCCTCACATGTGCAGCTCACAATAGGGTTTGCTCTCCCATAAGAATCTAATGCCACCACCGATCTGACAGGAGGCGGAGCTCAGATGGTAATGCTTGCTTGCCCATTATTCATCTCCTGCTGTGTGGCACAAAGATGGGGATGGAGAAAAATGGAAGTATACTGTTATAAGAGTGGTCCCCAACCATTTTGGTACCAGGGACTGGTAGACAATTTTTCCACAGACCAGGTGGTGGGGTGGGGGTGAGGGGCAGTCTCTACTAAAAATACAAAAAAAAAAAAATTACCCAGGCATGGTGGCGGGCACCTGTAATCCCAGCTACTGGGGAGGCTGAGGCAGGAGAATCACTTGAACCTGGGAGACGGAGGTTGCAGTTAGCAGAGATTGCGCCACTCCAGCCTGGGCAACAGAGTGAGACTCCTTCAAAAAAAAAAAAAAAGCCAATAGACTTAAAAAAAAGACTTTTCTTTCAATTTTTAAAAAATTTTCAATTGTTATTGAAAATTTCTGCATTACTCTCTCAGTAATTAATAGAGCAAGGAGGCAGAAAATGAGAAAGTATATAGAAGAGTCAAATAACACTATCAATCAAGTTAACTTAATTGATGTGTGTAAAACATTTCACCCCCCCCAAAGAGTGAAATGCACATTCTTCACAAGTGCATCCAAACACTTAATGAGATAATATTTTATAGGCTAAGCTATGAAATATGCCTCAACATTTTTAAGTTGACAGAAATTACATGAAGTATGTTTTTAAGACACAATGAAATTAAACAATCAAATCAACAATTTAAAAAATCTTTAAAATCTTCCAAAATTTGGAAATTAAGCTACCTGCCTCCAAATCAAATGATCCATGGGTCAAAGAAGAAAGCATGAGAAAAACAGAAAATATTTTTAATGGAAAGATAATAACAACTCAACATGAATTAAGATTTTGAGATGCATTTAAAGTGGCACTGAATGAAATTAGATGTGATTGTCCTTAAATGCTTATGTAATAAAATAAAATAGGCATAAAATAAATTATATAAGCTTTCACCTTAGGAAATTAGAAAGAGTAAATTAAACCCAATATAATTAAATAATATACATATACAATTTAAAAAGTGTATTTCATAATAAAAGTAGATATAATTTTATAACCATATTTGACACTACTTAGAAAAACTGGAAGGAGCTATATATTTTTTCAGAAATTACGTGTATAATTTGATTAATAAACACTATGTGCAATTTAATTATAAGTTCATTCTCTAGCTGTAAATAGATATTTATTTGTCCATATATGTCCATTTCTAATGGTTTGCTACATACTTGTAGCTTTAGTTTTGTTTACTAATCAACATTAATGATGTGCCTATTATGTGCAGCTTTTGCGAGATGCCAAAACCATGCATGTGTAAGTATCACTCATGCCTTCACATACAGTATATTACAATCCACCACAGAAACAGACAAGAAAACAAATTACTACAACACAGCAGGTGTATGACTAGGTGCCAAGGCAATCTGAGGAGAAGGGAATGACGAAGGCTCTCTTTCACTTGGCTCCCTTGCTTCAGGTACAGTTAGAGATAAGGCCGTGCCTGACATGGGGTCATGAAGCACAAAGTCTTTACATGCTGTTCCTTCTCTTTGAAGGCTTTGGCTCCATAGTAGGTATGAGGAGGAATGAATCAACAGCACATATAGGAGATTAAAGACAGAGTAATGATCTGTGGTTAAATTGGCAAGTAGGATTGGGATTAGGCAGGCCAATGGGGAAAGCAGCCTAAGGAAGGAATATGGTAAGGCCAGTGATGCAGATGGAGGCAGATTATAAAATTCCAATCTGATCTTTGGGAAATTTATTATTCATCTTTATGACCTACCATTCTCAACATGGCCAAAAGCAATGCATAGAAGGGATTCTGAGTTCACCAGATTAAAGACACCAAAGGAAAAGTTGCAGTCATGTTTAAACTAGCAAGGAAAGGAGAGGATGTGCTATTATATTGAATAGAATTCTGAAAGATTATCTATTTTAGCATTATTTTTCTTAATATATTGTGTTTAGGCAGGTCTAACAAGGTTTGATCATTTTATCTATTTAAAGACTTGCTCATTTAAGCAACGGTTAAACCCCAGAACATTTTAATACCCAATAAATCCATCAGATGTTAGGTACATGTGATTTTTATATGGTAAACTTGAGACTTGCCTCTGTCTGTATCATTCCTAGCCAAGCCAGTAGACTACAGGTCTCTGATTCTACAGGTATCAAGTGGGGATGCTTATTTTTGAAATTACTTATTTGAAGGACCTAAAAAAATTGAGACTCTCAGTGAAGAGCTTTTCACTATTGTTTTGTAGGGAGTCCAGGCATGCCAATTTTATTTCTTAAATAAAATTTATGTATATATTACAAGTAGGAATAGCAAGCAACTGATTTTATAGACCAGTTAATGTGGCCTTTAAAATATACTTTAAGTAATCAAATGTGAACAAAAGTATATGTCTATATTTTGGTTAAACTAAAAAACAAAAAAATGAATTATGCATAAAATGTATTTTAGTAAAATCAAAATAGTTATTAAAACTAAGAATGAAGGGGACACTTATAACAACATTTGCCTTGCTCCATACTAATTACTTTCATATTAAAATAATCCTCTTTGGCATTTTAATCCTTGAAAAAATCTCCACTTAATTATATGGGAAGTTCTGACCTGTAATGTGTTTCTCTTTTGCCAAAAAGCACTTGCTGAAGCTAAATATGATTGTGGAATTTGGGGAGCGCTAATTTCAGTTCAGTTTGGCTAGGCCAGTGTCTGTAATAGTTGCAGTGCTTTGGGTTTATAATTTTTTGCTTCCCAGCCCAGGATGTTTTGTTTCCTTTCCTGTTGCTGAAAAGCAATCTGAAGCAATAGCTTTGAGCTGACCAACATTACCATTGCAGTACAGAAGGAAGAGAGTTGCTTCTATATAAGCAGCAGCACCACTAGATGTATGGGCTACTGTTACACTCAGGTGGGAACTTTGCTTTGCTGCAAGTGAAGGTGCTAAGGGTCTGTACAAGGAAACATTCATAAGTCCCACTTTACCAATATTTTCTCCCTCCCAAATAACAGCCATGAGTCCCTTAGCCAACACTGTCTGCCTTGGGATTGAGGTTAATTACCATGATATCATTTAGATGTTTGGGTTTGGATTTGTTTTGGGTAAAACAAATTTGGGGCAGCCCAGATTGATGTGAATGAATGATTTAATGTGCCAACTCTGCATTTCAAAAGAGCATTTCCATGCTAGATTTACCTATTGAGAGATAAACATTGGCATGGGTACATATCCATATTTAATCATGGAATATGTCAATAGTCTCAAAAAGCCAGTTGCAATAATAAAAGGCATACCTCTGCAATAGGGATAGTACCAAAATGCATTTCAAAGCCAAATTAAAATGGAAGCACCCAATTACAAAATTCATTCTATTGGCCTGCCTGAATACAAATGCTAACAAGCAGTCTGAGTACAATCAGTCCTTGTAAACTGTTCAAACCAAAATGAATAAGCAAACCCACTCCCCTCTTTATGTTTCCTTCTTTATGAGAACATCGAGTGTGGAGGCATTAAATCATTTGTCCTCATCCTCAACAGCTTCTTCATAATAGATCAGTTAAACTCGGGAATGTTCTTCTTTGGCATTTTTTATATCATCTGGCTGACTGTGCAGGAGCTCCATAAAATGAAATTGAAAGTGGCTGCATTTTAATGAATATACTTTATTTGATAGTAAATGAACTTAATCAATAAAATTCAGCTTACTACATAGTTTACTGCACTTTTGGTGGGAAATAGATCCGGAGGTCAGTTAGAAAAAGGAATTAACCAGCAGCCCCTTTTCTTCCTTAAGGCCATTTATTTTTCTCATTGGACAAGTAAAGGTGTGGGGAAAAAATGGCCTCAGTTAAATATTCTGATATTGAAACTGTGTCATACACTTTTGTATTAGGAACCGTGCAAACACAGAATTTAAGGCAGAGGCAAGGAAGAACCTAAAAGGCAACAGAATGCCCAGAATCTCATATGAGATTTCCCAGTATTTTAAGCAAAGTATCAGTGCCTAAGTTTTTGACTCTTATTTCTCTTTTAAATAGACACGGAAAAGAGTTTTCAAAAATATCTTTCTGAACAATTAAACCCAAGTATTATATAATTTTACCTGTCATAATATAGCTTCAGATTAGCAAGTACAAAAAAAACTTAAAGTTCAAAAGGTCATATTTTCTTTATGCCTTTATCGTTATATCCTTTTGTACCACACACATTCAAAGTTTTTATAGGATTTCAGAAATATTAAATATGGGGGTACTATCATGGTCAAATGGAAGAAGGCAGTTTTATTGTCTATTAACATTCACAGTACAGTTCAGAAAAGTGGCAAAGCATATAGTTCCTTTATCAGGTCAAGTTTCTTGTGCTTAAGAATCCTAAAAGCTGTTCTTCAGGAAGCAAATATTAGAGCAAGCAGTATTAAATTTCTTTCTCATTTTGACTAAGTGAAATGGAAATTTCAGGCCTGGGGCCCAGCTACTGCTCCTTCAGTAAAATGAAATAATAAAGGACAGCGGACATTTTGGGCTACCTACCCTTGTCCTGAAGGACCAAGATACTCAAAAAGTTTGTGTGTGTGTGCAATGTGCCCAGGGTGCAAACCTCTGGGCCAGGGGATTGTCAGAACCTAGGGATCCCTAGTCTACTGGCAGAGGGAACTCCAGGAATTGAGAGTGCTGGGGCCAGGACCCTATCACCGCTCAGCCCCGTATCCCTAGATCTGGGCTCTGCAAGTTTCATTCAACCCGAATTCATGGACTATAAGTTGTCTCCAACTTTTTATAGACTTTGAGGTCCTCTAGAGCAACCTCTTAATTATATAGATGAGAAAACCTAGACTTAGGTCTCCTTGGGCAAGAGAATTAAATGGAACATTACCTCCTGTTAGATTGTATGGCCTGCAAGAGCAGGGCCAGTATTTCTCTAGTGTTATGGAGCTCTATGTCTCATTGTTTAATTATTGAGGGGATATTCAGGAAAGAAGGGTAACGGAGGCAAAAGCATTCACTTTACAGCTTACCCTCAGAGGTAGTGCCATCACTTCCATCTGCCTGTATTTTTCTAGCAGAGAGGTTGTTATTGATCCATAAGGGTGGGAGCTGGGGTGAAAGGGTGGTAAGCCAGGAGGCAGTGCAACCATTTAGGATTTACAGCCTGGAATATCACGTTTTAGCAATTTCTATTTCAGATTTGAATTAAGAGCCCAGGTGAGAGATGTTTATTTGGGTTTGTGGAAATTCAGTTGCAAAACCAATGAATATTATTTCCTGAATTGTTAGTCCCTACATATATCACTACTGTTAAACATTGGCTAAGAATTTACGGCCTCCTGAAAAACTCCCTCTCAGGCAATAAGATATATCACCTGTCACTCTGCCATCTGGACCATAATCTCCCTCCATTGGTGGGATGGAAACCTTAGTTGAAATTAACTTTTCAGAGGGATAGTTCTCCTCAAAAGTGTTGGAAGTCTAGAGAGAATAACTGTATTTTCTTGGCTTTCTCTACATCTGCTTTATCACTTGACTACATGTTCTCCCAAATCTATGATATCTTTCCAAAGAGTACACACTGAAAAATGCCTCATGACTCAAATTGCTTTTAAAGATATTAACTCCTTTTTACCTCTACTTTGAAACATACAGATCCAAGATGTTATTCACCGAAGGCCCAACTTTAGAGTTTTCCACATTCTGTAACTACTTTCACATGACAATTGCATGTGTATTTTTATAATACTGGTGGGGACATTACTAGATTGATTTTTATGATTCTGTAAATATCATCTGTGCCCATTGTTCACTTGGAACAATCAACAAGAATCCTGCTGGATTTTAGTGGCCACCTTTTCTTCCCTGAAATAAAACTACCAAAAATTGCTTCAGTGAAAATTTCTGTCATTTATTTAAGTCATCACTTCCTTATTTTATGCCTATTGCTCCCATCCCCTAGTGTACATTAAATTTGATTTATTCTCAGAAAGCCCTTAGCATATCTTGTTTGCCTGCAGCTTAGACTCAACGGGAAGTCTTCCTTATAACTTTTGAAATCTAGTTAGGCGCTAGAGCTAATATATTTTCCAGTGCATGGATATGAAGGATTATTCTTTCCAAATGACTTTTTTTCCATTCAATTTGAAATTCTCAAATTGAGTACATATTATATCTGTTGGCCTCTCCTAAGAATCATCTAATCTGTCTTGTCCTTCAAGAATAGATTTAATTATATTTTTTGGTTGTCCAAAAATATGACGACAAAATAAAAGTTGAATCGAATCATGAAGTGGAGACAGGACTGAAAGCCATCCAGTTCAATATTGTCATTTTCTGGATGTTATCACTGAAACCTGAGGTCACATAGGCTGTTTGTGATATGATCAGAAGTAGAACCCCACACTCCTTCTTAGATTTAGCTTCTCTTTGGACTCTCACACCATGTTATGAAAACACTTTCTCAACCAAGTTAGTTTATTTAAATATGGCTATCTAGAAAGTGCAGATCATTGCATACATCTGTCTTCCCTACAACATTTTTATGCCACATTAGGCTGCAGCTTTGAAGATCAAAATAATAACAACATAGTGTCTCTATGGAAACAGGAGTTTCATCAACTCTGGTAAACCCTTGGCACTTATTAGATACCATTAATGGGATAATTAAATTGGATTGATGTAAACTAAACTGAGAAGCTTTATCTCCTGAAATTTCCATCCAGTTTATCTCCGGGGACCATCCAAACCAAAATTAATCTCTTTTCGGCTTGAACACTATTCCACTAATGAGAAAACCCATGTTCTTCCTTGTAGCCTGAAGAATAGCAGTTCATTAAACTATTCTTTGAATAATCCAGTTTTCAGTCAAGCTCTTCCACAATCCTGATCAATATTCTTTGGTGTTAAGAGCTTATATAAAGTATGGGAATTCATAAAGGGCAGAATTGACCTAGACTCAAGACATTGAATACCTGCAGACAATTGTTTTGTATGAGAGGTCTTTAAAGTATAGAATGTCTTACCATTATGCCTTGAGCAAATGGTCCTTTGCCTGACACATACTAGGCTCTGGTGACTATGTCTAAATGACTGGATCTAGCACGGTCTTACTGCTCCCTTAGTTTTTCATGTTGAGCCTGTGGTCAAATACCACTCCCTTTCACATAAACTTCAGTTAATTTTACATACTAAAGCTTAAAGCTTTTAAGGCTAAGCATTTCACCCATCTCAAAGATGAGCATTCTTTTCCTGCTCTCAGTGTTACTACCTGCCAATGTAATTCAGTCTACTTCCTGAATTCAGATTTTATATAATTTATTCCTTCCAATTTCTTTTCTCCTAGAAAAACAGGAAAAAATATTCAAGACAAGTGAAAGAAGGAAGTGAAAGATCTAAGACCTATGGAAATGTCAATATTTTGCTAATGTAAACACAGAAACTTTGTGTACATACCAGGTGCCATCCAGAGAGGTAGCCAAGGAATACTGGCCTGAAAAAAACCTGAGTGACTAATAGGTAATACAGTAGATGATTTAGAGCAAAAACCTGAATCGAAATCCCGGCTTGGCCCCTTTCTGTATGTTATTGGGCAAACTATGTAATCTCTCTGAGCTTTTGTCCTCATTTTAAAAATAGAGGCAATATTTATATAACTATCTCACAGTAAGAGCTAACATTTATATAGTAGCTACTATGAGCAAGGTACTATTGATTTATTAACTCACTTAATCCTCATGTAGCCTTTGAAGTGGGTATTGAATTCTCATATATCCCCTAAATAGTGGGTGTTATTACTGTCTTCATTTTATAGAAGAAAAAAGCAGGTTCAGAGGGGTTAACTTTCACTAGGCACACAGCTATTAAGTGGTGGAGTTGAGATTTAAACCCACGCAATCAGCTCTAGAGTCTTTGCCTACAGGCAGTACACCATACTGCCTATACCAACATGAGCATGAACTCCAGGATATCAACTTTATTATTCCTTTTTTATTGCCATCACTCCCCTCAGCAACAGGAAAGAAAAGAGAGCACTAGGCTAGAAGGAAGACTGGAATCCATTCACAACTCCTTCCTGACTAGCTCTGGGACTGTGGGCAAGTTATTTTATCTCTCCGAGCCTCAGAATCCTCATCTATAAGATTAAAAAAGCATGTCCAGGAATTCATGAATTCATGCTTAGAGATACCCAAAGAGTAAGGCAATGAATGGAACAGGCTAAGGTAAACTCTGGCAAAAGAGAAACACTTTACCTCCATATTTAGTACATAAATTACATGAACACATAGAAGCACTCAATAAAATAGTAGCTAACATCATCATTATTTTTACCTCTCTATTCCAGCCCTTATACCTACAGACTTTTTAACTGCAGGAAAAGTTAGAAATACTGTTATCTCTGTTACCATCACCACTGCACGATTCCAGAGAAAGCTGTTGGTATAGAAGAGAAAGACCTTCAAGAGAAAGACCAGAGGAAGGCCAGCCACCAGCCCATTTCTGAGCCTGTTTAGTCTTCCAGCAAATTGACCTTGACTTTTTGGCCAGCTCTGAGCCAGCCACACAAAAGACTCTTTAGACCCAAGACTATAAATGCACAGTGTTCTGGAAGCAGTCATAACCTCCTAAATCTACTTAATCCCTTAATCCCCGCCTCCCAGCAAGGCAGGAGCCCACACAGGATGCCTGCCTCAGCTTTCACCGGAGAGCATCATCAAGGGCCAGAGCCCAGTCTCAGCCTCTCTGCTCCACTCATGAGGCCTCTGCTCCAAACTTCTCAAACCCTACACTTCCTGCTTTCAGAGGAAATGTTCTTGTGCGTTGCTGGAGTTTGCTAATATGTAAGTGATGAAATCCAAAGTACATTTGGTATTTGGACAAATGTCAAATGTTTTCCCTGTGCACCAGATATGAAATATAAATGAGTTAAGTAAAAAAAAAAAAGTAAAAAGCTAGCAGGCTGCTCAGTGAAACACTGAACCTCCTATCTGCACTGCTTCTCTCCTCAAATAGAAGACTCTAGAAAGGTGAATAGGATTCCCACTACATTTCAAAATATTATCTGCATTATACCCTCACTATTGTCATTAGTCCCCATGACAGCAGGAACAAAAAGAGAACACTGGCTAAAAGTTAGTTAGAAAGCCTAGGTTCCATTCACAGCTCCTTCCTGAGTAGTTCTCTGACCCTGGGCAAGCTACTTTACCTCTCTGGGCCTCAGAATCTTCCCTTGTAAAATGATAACATCTGGAGGTTCCCTAAGCATGGAACTCATGCTGAGAGAAGCCCAGAGAATAATGCAATGAGTGAAACTGACTCAGGAGTCTTCTTTTGACAGAAAAACACTTTGCAAATTTAATACATAATAATATTCTCCACTTTAATAAAGAAATATGCTCAATTTCATTTCTTAATAAATGTTTTGTTTTAGAATAGCTTAAGATTTACAGAAAGGTTGCAAAAATAGTAGAGCCCCCATATACCCCACTCCCAGTTTTCCCTTTTGTTAACATCCTGCATTAGTATTGTACATTTATCAACATTTCTTTCTCTTAAAATATGCCGCCCTCTGAACCTATCTACAGAGGTGGATGCACAGGAATATTTCTCTGCTATACCCAGATAGAGAGACAATAGGGAGTGGAGGAGACTGCAATTAGCAGGCACAAATCCCAGCTATGGGAAGAGCTGCAACTCAGAGTCAGCTGCTGGCTGTGCTGCCACACCAAAATGGAGGTTATATATTTCTATGTCTCTGAGGAGGGGAGGAAATTATTTGTTTGTTTGTTTGTTTGCTTGCTTTAAGAGAATCTAGAAATGTAGATTTTTTGTGTGTGTGAAATGTACCAGTTTTTAAAGTTTGGCTCATTTTTCTTTTCCTTCTCAAAACACTATTCTGGCCAAACAAAACAGACATGCTCATGGAATTTTGCCTGTGACTTTCCTTTTGTGATCTCCAGTCACATTAGTTTTGATGGGCTAAGGTCAAGGTATCAGCAGGGCTGGTTTCTTCTGGAGACTCTGAGGAAAGAATCCATTCCTTTGATTTTTTTCAGCTTCTAGTGGCCACTTGTATTCCTTGGCCTCCTTAATTCTTGCTCCATCTTCAAAGGGCACCACTCCAATCTCTGCTTCTGTTACTAATTACATCATCTTTTCTTCTGACTCTGACACCTCCTGTATTCTTCTTCTAAGAAGTATTATGATTACACCGGGCCCATCTGGATAATTCAGAATAATCTCCCATCTTAAGATGCTTAATCACATCTGAAATTCTTTTTTGCCATATAAGGTAACATTCACAGGTTCCAGAAAATTAGGGTATGTGGACATACTTCAGGGGGTCATTATTCAGTCTACCACATTAGTTTAGAAGCAAAGTTCCCTTCCAGCTTTTATAAGAAAATATTCTCTCCCAGCTCACTCCTAACCACAGAAGTCATTCTTATGATTCCATCTTCTTGGACTCCTATCAGAAAAGCCACTTTGGCAAGTATTTGTAGGGCAGATGCCGTGTGCCCAGTAGTGTGCTAAGAACACAAGGGAGGAATGATTATAAAAGAACAAATATTCTCTTCTGTTCCAAAGGTTTCTGCTGTACTTGTGAAAGGCCAAGAATTACAGAAGGTGCAATGCTCTAAGAACTCACTTGACTTGAAAGATTTTCATTAGATCTAGAGGAAAAAAATTAGAAGGTACACATTTATTTTTGTAGAAGAATAGTGTTTCATATCATCCATTTACTGACACTTGACAGAGCACTCATGAGTCACCATTCCCACATAATAGAAGCTCAATAATCCGCACTAGGGAAGAGACAGACTGTGAAAACATAGGCCCAGGATGAGGGTTATAAGAAAGGTCAGCATCTCTGAGACGAAACTTTTGAGGGTGACCCAGCCAGGACCACTTTATTCCTCTAACCTAAGCCTTATACCTGAATACTTCAGCCATAAAATATCAAGCAGGAGGGGCATCTTTTCATTGGAGCCCTGAAATGGACATCTTTTGGAGTATCTGTACCATATGTAAATCAATTGGGCATTTTTTGGAGTATCTGTACCATATGTAGATCAATTACCTACCCATTTTTCTCAGGAAAATACAGCTCCTTCTAAGTCACCGAAATACATTCTTGGCATTTCTTTGTATTGCTGACTACACTTGATTAAACCAAAGTAGGTAACTGATGCATACAGTTCCAACCCTGGACATTTAGAATCAAAACCAGGAGTCAAGTTAGTTGAGGCCTTTAACATAAAACTTTGGAAGTAGAAGCACCATCACCTTTTCCCATTGTAGACTGGGGATGTAAGAAGATAATCAATTGAGAGAGCAATCAAGGCATGAAATCATCACACACAGAGAGTAAAGTGATACACAGAGAGGCTCATGGCTTTTACGTTTCTACTTCCAGTCACTTCCTGAGGATTTGCTGCAATATTACCCAAGTTCCAAGAGCCGGCCCTGTTTCTTCAAAATAAATTTCCTGTCTTTCCTTAGATGAGAACAAGTTGGCTTCTATTACTTGAAACCAAAAGTCATTATAGTCTCCTGAGATCTCTCAAAGAGCTTCCCGTGAAGGCTCCCACCCATGCTGTCTCCACTAAAAATGTCTTCCACTATGACTGCATTCAGATCTCTGTCCTTTAGGAACTATTTCAAAAGGATTTGACACCTGGCGCCTGTAAGGCTGGAGAACAGAGGACCCTTAGCCAACAAAATTCTCACATCAGAGTAGCAGCAGTGAAATGTTTGGCCTAATTTCTCAAAATAAAGTCATTTTTATGAGTGGTTAATTTTCTCAAGCCCCAGTAGCTGAATGCTTTCAGGTAAACCTTGAAAGTTTGCAGGGAATTTATCTACAGAGTCTGGACACTGTCCAAATTCTAAAGAATAAACTGGGGCTTGATATACACTTATTTGGTGCTTTCACTTATTAAACAATTATTGAAAGTATGTAAAGACAGATTTACTCAGTGTATTCCACTTATAGAATATGTTCGCCTACAGTGCCACATTGATACACACAATTGTCCAATGAGAAAGATACGGCAAGATCCTGTATTCCCATTTTATAGATTAAGGAGGAGTTAAATAATTTGACCTAGGGAAATGGCACTGAATAATATGGCACTGAGCCCCTAAAGAGTAAGTATCAAGTTGAGCTAATCTTAATATGTGTATTAGTCCATTCTCAAGCTGCTATGAAGATATACCTAAGACTGTGTAATTTATAAAGAAAAGAGGTTTAATTGACTCTTGTTTCCACATGGCTGGGGAGGCCTCAGGAAACTTACAATCATGGCAGAAGGCACCTCTTCACAGGGCAGCAGGAGAGAGAATGAGAACCAGCAGGGGAAATGCCAGACGCTTATAAAACCATCATATCTCATGAGAACTCACTATCATGAAAATAGCATGGAGGAAACTGCCCCTATGATTCAATTACTTCCCACCAGGTCCTTCCCGTGACATGTGGGGATTATGGGAACTACAATTCAAGATGAGATTTGGGTGGGGACACAGCCAAACCATATCATTCCACCCCTGGCCCATCCCAAATCTCATGTTCTCATTTCAAAACACAATCATGCCTTCCCAACAGTCCCACAAAGTCTTAACTCATTTCATCATTAACTCAAAAGTCCAAGTCCAAAGTTTCATCTGAGACAAGTCTGTTCCACCTATGAGCCAGTAAAATCAAACACAAGTTAGTTCCTTCCAATATACAATAGGGGTACAGGGATTGGGTAAATACACCCATTCCAAGTGGGATAAATTGGCCAAAACAAAGGGGCTATAGGCCCCATGCAAGTCTGAAATCCAACAGGGTAGTTATTAAACCTTAAAGTTCCAAAATGATCTCCTTGACTCCATGTCTCACATCCAGGTCACACTGAGGCAAGAGGTGGGTTCCCACAGTCTTGGGAAGTTCCACCCCTGTGGCTTTGCAGAGTACAGCTTTCATGGGCTGGTGTTGAGTGTCTGCAGCTTTTCCAGGCACATGATGCAAACTGTCAGTGGATCTACCATTCTGGGGTCTGGAGGACAGTGACTCTCTTCTCACAGTTCCACTAGGCAGTGCCCCAGCAAAGACTCTGTATGGGGTCTCCAACCCCACATTTCCCTTCTGTACTGCCCTAGCAGAGGTTCTCCATGAGGGCTCCACTGCTGCAGCAAACTTCTGCCGGGATATTCGGGCATTTTCTTACATCCTCTGAAATCTAGGTGGAAGTTCCCCAATCTCAATATTTGACTTCTGTGCACCCGCAGGCCAAAAACCACATGTAAGCCACCAAGGCGTGGGGCTTCCACCCTCTGAAGCCACAGCCTGAACTGTACCTTGGCCCCTTTTAACCTTGGATGGAATGGTTTGGAAACAGTGCACCAAGTGGGATTATGGGAAATACAATTCAAGGTGAGATTTGGGTGGGGAAATAGCCAAACCATATCAATATGTTAATCACCCTGCACAGTAACTGACACATAGTGTTTCAGGGGTGACAAAGTAATTGTATCTCACGCAGAACCCTAATTCCTAGATAGCAGCTGCCTGCAATACTGTATTAAGAAATATTCCAACAGTGTATCTGGACTCTTTGGGAAGAGGTACTGTGACTGAGTTGAGGTGCCTGGTGACAGGTAACAGAGCGGAAAGTAACAACACAAGCCTCAGTATTTCCATCCCTATAGTAAATGCTCAATAAATGACCAAACTGGCAGACTCAGGACTGAATACCATGTCACTTGGCCTTTTCAATTCCAACACACTATGAATGTCTCCACTCCTGTCCCTAATGTCCTAAACCACGAGTAAACAAATTATAACCCAAACACCAAACCTGGGCTTTTTAATAAAGGTTTTTAAACCTTTGTTAAGGTTTTTAAATAAAGGTTTATTTGAATACAGTCATGTTCATTTATTTATGTATTGCTCATAGATGCTTTTGTGCAACAATAACAGAGTTGAGTAGTTGAAAAACACTTGGGGTAGCATACAAAGACTAAAATATTTACCATCTGGCCCTTTATAGAAAAAGTCTAGCTAGGAGGAGCCAAGATGACCGAACAGGAACAGCTCCGGTCTACAGCTCCCAGCGTGAGTGACACAGAAGATGGGTGATTTCTGCATTTCCAACTGAGGTACCGGTTCATGTCACTGGGGAGTGCCAGACAGTAGACGCAAGACGGTGGGTGCAGCGCACTGTGTGCGAGCGAAAGCAGGGCGAGGCATCGTCTCACCCGGGAAGCACAAGAGGTCAGGGAATTCCCTTTCCTAGTCAAAGAAAGGGGTGACAGACGGCACCTGGAAAATCGGGTCACTCCCACCCTAATACTGCACTTTTCCAAAGGGTTAAAAAAGAGCACACGAGGAGATTATATCCCTCACCTGGCTCAGAGGGTACTATGCCCATGGAGTCTCGCTCATTGCTAGCACAGCAGTGCCAGATCAAACTGCAAGGAGACAGCGAGGATGGAGGAGGGGCGCCCGCCACTGCCGAGTTAGTTGTTTGAATAGGTAAACAAAGCAGCCGGGAAGCTCGAACTGGGTGGAACCCACCACAGCTCAAGGAGGCCTGCCTGCCTCTGCAGGCTCCACCTCTGGGGACAGGGCACAGACAAACAAAAAGACAGCAGTAACCTCTGCAGATTTAAATGTCCTTCTCTGACAGCTTTGAAGAGAGTAGTGGTTCTCCCAGCATGCAGGTTGAGATCTGAGAATGGGCAGACTGCCTCCTCAAGTGGGTCCCTGAACCCCAAGTAGCCTAACTGGGAGGCACCCCCCAGTAGGGGCGGACTGACACCTTACACGGCCAGGTATTCCTCTGAGACAAAACTTCCAGAGGAACGATCATTTGCGGTTCACCAAAATCCGCTGTTCTGCAGCCACCGCTGCTGATACCCAGGCAAACAGGTTCTGGAGTGGACCTCTAGCAAACTCCAACAGAACTGCAGCTGAGGGTCCTGACTGTCAGAAGGAAAACTAACAAACAGAAAGGACATCCACACCAAAAACTCATCTGTACATCACCATCATCAAAGAACAAAGGTAGATACATCACCATCATCAAAGACCAAAGGTAGATAAAACCACAAAGATGGGAAAAAAACAGAGCAGAAAAACTGGAAACTCTAAAAATCACGGCACCTCTCCTCTTCCAAAGGAATGCAGCTCCTTACCAGCAATGGAACAAAGCTGGACAGAGAATGACTTTGACGAGTTGAGAGAAGAAGGCTTCAGACGATCAAACTACTCCAAGCTACAGGAGAAAATTGGAACCAATGGCAAAGAAGTTAAAAGCTTTGAAAAAAAAATTAGATGAATGGATGACTAGAATAATCAATGCAGATAAGTCCTTAAAGGACCTGATGGAGCTGAAAACCAAGGCAAGAGAGCTATGTGACAAATGCAGAAGCCTCAGTAGCCAATGAGATCAACTGGAAGAAAGGGTATCAGCTATGGAAGATGAAATGAATGAAATGAAGCAAGAAGAGAAGTTTAGAGAAAAAAGAATAAAAAGAAACGAACAAAGCCTACAAGAAATATGGGACTATGTGAAAAGACCAAATCTACGTCTCATTGGTGTACCTGAAAGTGACGGGGAGAATGGAACCAAGTTGGAAAACACTCTGCAGGATATTATCCAGGAGAACTTCCCCAATCTAGAAAGGCAGGCCAACATTCAAATTCAGGAAATACAGAGAACTCCACAAAGATACTCTTTGAGAAGAGAAACTCCAAGACACAAAATTGTCAGATTCACCAAAGTTGAAATGAAGGAAAAAATGTTAAGGGCAGCCAGAGAGAAAGGTCAGGTTACCCACAAAGGGAAGCCCATCAGACTAACAGCTGATCTCTTGGCAGAAACTCTACAAGCCAGAAGAGAGTGGGGGCCAATATTCAACATTCTTAAAGAAAAGAATTTTCAACCCAGAATTTCATATCCAGCCAAACTAAGCTTCATAAGTTAAGGAGAAATAAAATACTTTACAGACAAGCAAATGCTGAGAGATTTTGTCACCACCAGGCCTGCCCTAAAAGAGCTCCTGAAGGAAGCACTAAACATGGAAAGGAACAACTGGTACCAGCCACTGCAAAAACATGCCAAATTGAAAAGACCATCAAGGCTAGGAAGAAACTGCATCAACTATCAAGCAAAATAACCAGCTAACATCATAATGACAGGATCAAATTCACACATAACACTATTAACTTTAAATGTAAATGCGCTAAGTGCTCCAATTAAAAGACACAGACTGGCAAATTGGATAAAGAGTCAAGACCCATCAGTGTGCTGCATTCAGGACTCCCATCTCACGTGCAGGAACACACAAAGGCTCAAAATAAAGGGATGGAGGAAGATCTACCTAGCAAATGGAAAACAAAAAAAGGCAGGGGTTGCAATCCTAGTCTGGGATTAAACAGACTTCAAACCAACACAGATCAAAAGAGACAAAGAAGGCCATTACATAATGGTAAAGGGATCAATTCAACAAGAAGAGCTAACTATCCTAAAGGTATATGCACCCAATACAGGAGCACCCAGATTCATAAAGCAAGTCTTTAGTGACCTACAAAGAGACTTAGACTCCCACACAATAATAATGGGAGACTTTACACCCCACTGTCAACATTAGACAGATCAACGAGACAGAAAGTTAACAAGGATACCCAGGAAATGAACTCAGCTCTGCACCAAGCGGACCTAATAGACATCTACAGAACTCTCCACCCCAAATCAACAGAATATACATTCTTTTCAGCACCACACCACACCTATTCCAAAGCTGACCACATAGTTGGAAGTAAAGCATTCCTCAGCAAATGTAAAAGAACAGAAATTATAACAAACTGTCTCTCAGACCACAGCGCAGTCAAACTAGAACTAAGGATTAAGAAACTCACTCAAAACCGCTCAACTACATGGAAACTGAACAACCTGCTCCTGAATGACTACTGGGTAAATAACGAAATGAAGGCAGAAATAAAGATGTTCTTTGAAACCAATGAGAACAAAGACACAACATACCAGAATCTCTGGGACACATTCAAAGCAGTGTGTAGAGGGAAATTTATAGCACTAAATGCCCACAAGAGAAAGCAGGAAAGATCTAAAATTGACACCCTAACATCACAATTAAAAGAACTAGAAAAGCAAGAGCAAACACATTCAAAAGCTAGCAGAAGGCAAGAAATAACTAAAATCAGAGCAGAACTGAAGGAAATACAGACACAAAAAACCCTTCAAAAAATTAATGAATCCAGGAGATGGTTTTTGGAAAGGATCAACAAAATTGATAGACTGCTAGCAAGACTAATAAAGAAGAAAAGAGAGGAGAATCAAATAGATGCAATAAAAAATGATAAAGGGGATATCACCACTGATCCCACAGAAATACAAACTACCATCAGAGAATCCTATAAACACCTCTACAAAAATAAGCTAGAAAATCTAGAAGAAATGAATAAATTCCTTGACACATACATCTTCCCAAGACTAAACCAGGAAGAAGCTGAATCTCTGAATAGACCAATAACAGGCTCTGAAATTGAGGCAATAATCAATAGCTTACCAACCAAAAAAAGTCCAGGACCAGATGGATTCACAGCTGAATTCTACCAGAGGTACAAAGAGGAGCTGGTACCATAACTTCTTGAAACTATTCCAATCAATAGAAAAAGAGGGAATCCTCCCTAAGTCATTTTATGAGGCCAGCATCATCCTGATACCAAAGCCTGGCAGAGACACAACAAAAAAAGAGAATTTTAGACCAATATCCTAGATGAACATCAATGCAAAAATCCTCAATAAAATACTAGCAAACCAAATCCGGAAACACATCAAAAAGCTTATCCACCATGATCAAATGGGCTTCATCCCTGGGATGCAAGGTTGGTTCAACATATGCAAATCAATAAATGTAATCCATCATATAAACAGAACCAACGACATAAACCACACGATTATCTCAATAGATGCAGAAAAGGCCTTTGACAAAATGCAACAACTCTTCATGCTAAAAACTCTCAGTAAATTAGGTATTGATGGGTCGTATCTCAAAATAATAAGAGCTATTTATGACAAACCCACAGCCAATATCATACTGAATGGGCAAAAACTGGAAGCATTCCCTTTGAAAACTGGCGCAAGACAGGGATGTCCTCTATCACCACTCCTATTCAACGTAGTGTTGGAAGTTCTGGCCAGGGCAATAAGGCAGGAGAAGGAAATAAAGGGTATTCAATTAGGAAAAGAGGAAGTCAAATTGTCCCTCTTTGCACATGACATGATTGTATATCTGGAAAACCCCATCATCTCAGCCCAAAATCTCCTCAAGCTGATAAGCAACTTCAGCAAAGTCTCAGGATACAAAATCAATGTACAAAAATCACAAGCATTCTTATACACCAATAACAGACAAACAGAGAGCCAAATCATGAGTGAACTCCCATTCACAATTGCTTCAAAGAGAATAAAATACCTAGGAATCCAATTGACAAGGGATGTGAAGGACCTCTTCAAGGAGAAATACAAACCACTGCTCAATGAAATAAAAGAGGATACAAACAAATGGAAGAACATTCCATGCTCATGGATAGGAAGAATCAATATCGTGAAAATGGCCATACTGCCCAAGGTAATTTATAGATTCAATGCCATCCCCATCAAGCCACCAATAACTTTCTTCACAGAATTAGAAAAAACTACCTTAAAGTTCATATGGAACCAAAAAAGAGCCCGCATCGCCAAGTCAATCCTAAGCCAAAAGAACAAAGCTGGAGGCATCACGCTACCTGACTTCAAACTATACTACAAGGCTACAGTAACCAAAACAGCATGGTACTGGTACCAAAACAGAGATATAGACCAATGGAACAGAACAGATCCCTCAGAAATAATGCCGCTTATCTACAACTATCTGATCTTTGACAAATCTGACAAAAACAAGCAATGGGGAAAGGATTCCCTATTTAATAAATGGTGCTGGGAAAACTGGCTAGCCATATGTAGAAAGCTGAAACTGGATCCCTTCCTTACACCTTATACAAAAATTAATACATGATGGAGTAAGGACTTACATGTTAGACCTAAAACCATAAAAACCCTGGAAGAAAACCTAGGCAATCGCATTCAGGACATAGGCATGGGCAAGGACTTCATGTCTAAAACACCAAAAGCAATGGCAACAAAAGCCAAAATTGACAAATGGTATCTAATTAAATTAAAGAGCTTCTGCCCAGCAAAAGAAACTACCATCAGAGTGAACAGGCAACCTGCATAATGGGAGAAAATTTTTGCAACCTACTCATCTGACAAAAGGCTAATATCCAGAATCTACAATGAACTCAAACAAATTTACAAGAAAAAACAAACAACCCCATCAAAAAGTGGGTGAAGGATATGAATAGACACTTCTCAATGGAAGACAGTTATGCAGGCAAAAAACACATGAAAAAATGCTCATCATCACTGGCCATCAGAGAAATGCAAATCAAAACCACAATGAGATACCATCTCACACCAGTCAGAATAGTGATCATTAAAAAGTCAGGAAACAACAGGTGCTAGAGAGGATGTGGAGAAATAGGAGCACTTTTACACTATTGGTGGGACTGTAAGCCACTTCAACCATTGTGGAAGTTGGTGTGGTGATTTCTCAGGGATCTAGAACTAGAAATACCATTTGACCTAGCCATCTCATTACTGGGTATATACCCAAGGGATTATAAATCATGCTGCTATAAAGACACATGCACATGTATGTTTATAGCGGCAATATTCACAATAGCAAAGACTTGGAACCAACCCAAATGTCCAACAACGATAGACTAGATTAAGAAAATGTGGCACATATATACCATGGAATACTATGCAGCCATAAAAAATGATGAGCTCATGTCCTTTGTAGGGACATGGATGAAACTGGAAACCATCATTCTCAGCAAACTATTGCAAGGACAAAAAACCAAACACCGCATATTCTCACTCATAGGTGGGAATTGAACAATGAGAACACATGGACACAGGAAGGGGAACATCACACACCGGGGACTGTTGTGGGGTGGGGGGAGGGGGGAGGGATTGCATTAGGAGATCTACCTAATGCTAAATGACAAGTTAATGGGTGCAGCACACCAACATGGCACATGCATACATATGTAACAAACCTGCATGTTATGTACATGTACCCTAAAACTTAAAGTATAATAATAAAATTTAAAAAAAGAAAGAAAAACCCCAATTAAAAAGAAAACATAGATCCAAACAGATGACACCTCACCAAAGAAAATAGATGAACTGTAAATAAAATATGAAAAAAATGCATATATTTGTTACTGGGGAAATGCAAATTAAAAACAATAAATGAGAAACCACTAAAAAAAAAAAAAAAAAAGAAAAGAAAAGTCTAGCTAACCTCACTCCTAAACCAAATTAAAGTTCAAAGGAGTTCAAGAGAGATAAATCTAACCCTATATTTTCTTTTCCATGCAATAAAGTTGCCTACATTTTTGCTTTGATGACCAGAGTAAAGCACACACTGCTATCACTAACCTTCTAAGATAAATCAGGCCAGTGTGTATTCCCTATTGGGCTATTAATAGATTGGCATTTAAAGAAGAATTAGCTCTAATATGAATTAAGGACTTTAATTACTTGTGCCTAAGGTGTTTAATTCATTGAAGGGTAAAAGAAAAATACAATATAAAATGGGTAACAAAGGAATTTAAACCTACTGTAAACTCCTATTCACCCAGAAATCAACCAATCAGAAAGCCATAACTTTATTTTATTTTCCTTTTTGCTGGGAGATCACATACAAATTCTGGCTTATGAACTTGATAAGAGAATCAGTTTTCAGCATACCTACTGAAAATAACTGATTGTCATAATTACAACACCTAACTCTTATGGGTCATGTAAGAAAGATTTGGTAATCTTTGTGAGATTTAGATGGCAATATTAAATTAACCAGAGTTAATGAACCAAGTTGTCCAAATCCTGAACAGAGAGAATAGTATATTGGGTTATCTTACAATTTTAGGGTTTTATGCAATATTGTAGGAGTTAAGCCAAGAAGTACAAATAAGTAAAATGTATTCTGGTTAGTTCTCTATTTGTCTAATAATATTGTTAGTTACAATACCACACATAACGATGCTCACATAGGTGATCATTAAATACTTTTGAGATAATTTAGAAGGGGCCACCAACTACAGAAGGACTCCTAACCCAATTTACCTACTGTGATGGAAGAAAAGGGTTGGCAAGATACGGTCCAGTGGTTCGTTCCATAAAACTAAGCAAGGTGTAAATAGCAGATGCTTCAATCCAGTGAGCACTGTGTGTGTCATCAGAGTTTAAATACTAGAGTCTTTTTTTCAGAGGGTTATGAAGATTAGCGCTGGGAAATCATGCTCTAAATAGGTCATCATTCTCAGGTCCTGACAAAGGAGCTCAGGTATGGAAACTGAATGAGAATCATGAGGAACTAAGAAAACCTAGAAACAAGGGAATGGTTAGGGAATTAATCAGGAGGCAATGGGCTAAATTCATCTGTACAATCTGCAAAAGTTTATAAAATACCCATGTTTGGGGTTTCAGAGATAATATCTCCCTCTTCCACTTATAAGGCTAGAATCAATATAAAGATAAATACAGGAATCAGGCAATCCAAACCTCACTTTTATTATTGATAAAGCTTATTAGAAAATGTAAATTTATATCTGTGACAAAGTCTTAATACTTTGCTGAAGTAAACAGACAATGATCTGGTCATTGCCTAACTGGGGAACTGCAGATCATACTGATAGGGCCAGACCCCTTACCACATGGCAGAAGGAAGACTAGAATGCAGATGACTGGGTAGCTCTGAGAAGGGGAGAGAAAAGAGTCCGAGATGAACATTATCAGTTCATTTCAGCAGAACCCAATCAGAAAAGTCATTTCACTTCTCATGGGGAGAAGTAAGTGAGAAGTAGAGAGAAGCAAGGGAGTTATTCAAGAGGAGGACACTCTCAAAACTCAAGGGGAACGAGTAGTCACCCATTAGCACCAAGTATGTGCCAGCACCGTTTTGGGTGCTGGAAATATAATGGTGAACAAACCAGACAAAGGCTAAGTTCTCATGGAGTTTATAGTCTAGTAGGATAATGTGACAATAAAACATCAAACAGAGAAATATACAATAAAGTATCTGATAGTTATGAATGCTGAGAAAAAAAAAACACTTTGCAATAGAGACCTTCCTGGGTTGCTTGAAAATATTGCAGCAAAATAATTCCTCACATCCCTGTACATGCATCTCCTTCCTCTGAATAAGCAAAGTTATCTTCTTTCCCCTTGAATCTGGGTGGGTCTTGAGACTTACTTTGACCAATAAAATGTAGCAGAAGTGACACTCTAGAATTTTCCAACCAGGTGTTAAGAGAAATCTCTCTCTCGGAACTCAGCTGCTGTGCTGTGAAGACGCTCAAGACAAACTCCCAAGAGGCCATGTGGAGGACATCAACACTCCAAAAAGCTCTTAGTTGAATTCAGCTGCCTATACTATGAGGAGCAGAAGAATCACCCAGCTGAGCCCCGTAAACCCACAATAATAAATTGTTATAAGCCACTTTATTGTGGGTTGGTTACACCAAAATGGATACCTAAAACAGAGACTGATTTTGTGGGGAAGATTATTTAGGCTGTTGGTCAAGAAAAGGTCTTATGAGAAGATGGTATTTGAACTAAGTGAAAAGAAAATAGCCATGAAACTCTGGTGTCAGAGTAATCCAGGCAGAAGAAATAGCAAGTGTGAAGGACCTATGGCAGAAATAACCTGGGTGTGTCTGAGAAACAATTAAAAGCCTGATATCACTGCAATATAATGAGAGAAGTTGAGTCAGAGACAGAGGAAGAAGCTAGATCATAGAGGACCTTGTAAGCCATAGTAAAGGGTTTGGAATTTTTTAAATTAGTAGAAAACCACGGGAGTTTTTCAGCAAAGAAGGACACAAACTGACTTCTGTTTTAAAAATATCTCTGGTTTCTGTGTTGAGAATAGATTGGAGTAGTGCAAGAGTACAATTGGAGAAACCAATCCTAGCATCCTGAAAAGGGAACGCCAAACAAACCTCATGGTAGCTTAAAAAATTACAAAAATAAAACAGAATTTTTGAAGCCACCATAAAATCCATCCATTTCAAATGAGCAATTCAGTGAGTTTTTGTAAATGTATATAGTCATGCAATTATCACCACAATAGAATTTTAGCATACTTACATCACCTTAAAAAGTTCTGTAATGTTCCTTTTCAGTCAAACCACACTCCTACCCTTTGCCAAAGCAAACACTATAATTATTACTTTCCATAAGAGTAAAGATTTACTTTCTATAAGGATACCTTTGCCTTTCCTGGAAATTTCTCATAAATGAAATTAAACAAAATGTCTTTTTTGTCTGGCTTCCTTCACTTGGTATGATTTTTTCTGAGATTCATCTATGTTGTGTGTGTCACTAGTTAATTCCTTTTATGGCTGGGTAATATTCCAGTGTGTGTGTATATGTGGGGGTGTGTGTATATGTGGGGGTGTGTGTATGCCACATTTTGTTTATCACATTTTATATATACATAAAGAATTATATATGCCACATTTTATAAATATATATAATTATGTATATGTGCCACATTTTGTTTATCCATTCACCAGTAGATGATCATTTTGGATGTTTCCAGTTTGGGGCTATTATGAATAATTCTGCTGTGAACATTTACATAAAAGCCATTTTGTGGGCATATGTTTATATTTCTGCTGGGTAAATATCTAGGTAAGTGGATGCTTATGTAAAGGCATGTTTAACTTTTTAAAGAGACTGTCAAACTGTTTTCTAAAGTGGCTGTACCATTTTACATTCTTACCAGAAGTGAATAAGAGTTCCGGTTTCTCTACATTCTCATCAACACTGAGTATTTTCTGTCTTTTCAATTTTATCCATTCCAAGTAGGTGTACTGTGGTATTTCATCATGGTTCTAAATTGCATTTTCCTATTGATGAATGATGAAGATTCTTTATTTGCTTTAGTGTGCTTCTTTGAAAAAAATCTATTTAAATCTGTTTCCCATATTCTATTTTTTTGTTTGTTTGTTTGTTTTGTTTTGAGACGGAGTTCCACTTTTGTTGCCCAGGCCAGAGTGCAATGGCGTGACCTCAGCTCACTGTAACCGTAACATCTGCCTCCTGGGTTCAAGCAATTCTCCTGCCCCAGCCTCCTCAGTAGCTGGGATTATAGGCGCCTGCCACCACACCCGGCTAATTTTTTGTGTTTTTAGTAGAGATAAGATTTCACCATGTCAGCCAGGCTGGTCTCGAACTCCTGACCTCAGGTGATCCACCTGCCTCAGCCTCCCAAAGTGCTGGGATTACATGGATGAGCCACTGCGCCCAGTCTTTTTATTGTTATAATATGTTGTTAATACATGTTCTTCATCAAATATATGGTTTACAAATATTTTCTCCCAGTCTGTGGCTTGTGTTTTTATTTCTTAATGGAATCTTTAAACAGAAAACATTTTAAATTTTGAAGAAAACTACATTTCTATTTTTTTGGTTATTGTTTGCTTTTGTGTGCTATGTAAGAAATCTTTGTCTAACCCAAGTTCACAAAAAATTTTTCTCTATATTTTCTTCTAGAAATTTTATAGTTTTAGCTCTTACATTTGGATCCATTATTCATTTCTTTGGAAGCATTTTATGTGCTATGAGATCACATTTTTGGGGTAACCCTGCTTACTTTAAGGAGGCTAAATTTGGGGGATATAATTTATTCCATCTTTAACCTACAAATATTTTAACCTATTTTACTCTAACTCAAAGAAATAAAGAGTCATTTTTAGAAAAGGAGAGACCCATTCATTTTTTAATCATTCTATCTTGGTCAAGACTGTATTGTTCCCTGGTTATGGCCTCATTTGCTCTATGACAAGCATCTGGAAACCAACTAATGCCCTCCAACCTAAATCTTCTTAACACTGGGGGAGGGTCAGGAAAGGGAGTAGGGAATGTTCTTCCTACTCCTGATATTCCTTTCCTGTGGTGGGAGATCTGCTGGCATAATGCTTCTGAACTTCTTTGGCCTCTTTGCTTGTCTACCAAGGAAGAAGAGTGATATCCCTGCTTATACATTTCTAGCCCTGTTCCTTGTCTCCCCTCTTCTTGGAAGGTGGCCCATATGCAGAGAATATGTGTTCTTCACTGCCCTCAACCATCCAGGAAACATGGCCTTCATGGTCCCACTGACCATGGATGTGGCTTCAGAGACCCACACTGCCTGTGACCACATGGTAAGTCTCTCTACACAGGGACATATGCCCATTTGCACATAGCTTTATAAATATAGATTCAATATCAGCTTTAACTGTAATAAAGATAACATTTTGGTTCCATTTGCTTAATCCATTGTCTTTTCTTTTTAACTTTTATTTCAGTTTCAATGAGTACATGTGCAGGTTTGTTACACGAGTAAATTGCATGTCACTGAGGTTTGGTGTACAGATCATTTTGTCACTCAGGTACTCAGCATACTACTCAACAGGTAGTTGTTCAATCCTTACCCTCCTCCTGATCTCTACCCTCAACAGGCCCCAGTGTCTATGTATCTCTTCTTTACATCCATGTGTACTCAATGTTTAGCCCCCACTTATAATTGAAAACATACAGTATTTGGTTTTCTGTTCCTGTGTTAATTCACTTAGGATTATGGCCTCCAGCTCCACCCATGTTGTTGCAAAGGCCATGATCTCATTTTTTATAGCTGTGTAGTAATCCATGCTTAATCTTTTCTCTGGTTTCTCATTTGGCTCAGAACTCAGATTGGGAAGAAAGCTGTTATTTATTGGAATACTCTCAAATATACCCCAACCTTCTATCCAGTGGGTTTCTTAACTCTATCCCTCTGACCTTGGAAATCCTCTTTGTCCCTTCCTGCCTTAACCAGATTGAAAATTCATTTTGATAGACAGTGGAATTTTTGTCTTTAAAAAATTATTACAAAATTTTAGACTATTTAGAAGATACAAATGCATAAAAGACTATTAATTTTTAGAACTGTGCAATACAATAAGGTAACCATTTGCTCTCTATAGCTATTTAAATTTAAATTCATTGTTAAAAATTAAAAATCCAGTGCCTCAGTCACACTAGCCACATTTCAAGTACTCAATAGCTACATGTGGCTCATGGCTACTGCATCAGGCAACAAAGATAGACCATTTCTATCATCACTGGAAATTCTAGTGGGCAGTCCTGCTCTAGAGAAAATTTAGTATTTAATATGACCTTCCATATTAAATTATATTATCTATATACATATATACTTATATATGTGCAGGTTTATACATATATAAACTTACATATGTATATAGATATAGGCTAGGATCCTAAAAAAATAGGTTCAATTGTACATACTGTTTGTAACCTCACATCTCTCCTAATTTGTCATGAACATCTCATACATTCATCCTTCTATAATATTATTTTTGGTGACAACAAAGTATTTTTCTGTATCGACATACTGTAATTTCTGTAACCAAATGTTAAACATGGCCTTTTCCCCCCATTTATTACAGCCAAAATTACAGTGACTATTCTTGAATATCTTCATAACTGTCTTAAATTCTTAAAGTAATTTACAGAGTCAAAGGGCACTCACACTTTTAAACTTCTACAAGGCATTGCCAATTAGAAAAGGAGCCCTGGCTTGGAACACACATCCTGCCCTTGTCATCTGAAAGAAATAGATGAGTTTGCTTCTCTACAGAAAGCTGTTTGAAAAACAGTAAGGCCAAAATGTTAGCTGTTAAGCTAATGTGCTAAGGAGTCCTGGGAGTTTGTAAATGGCAATCACATGAGCACACCTCTCAGAAGCTGCTGTTCTTTTTCATTCACACTCCAGTAATGTTTCTAGAGTTCCTTTAACACAGTGAGAATCAGTTGATCTCTTAGAGATGTTTGACATTGTTCTCACTGGCAACTTGATATTAAACTTAAGGCTAACCACAGATATGTTCTGCCACTGGCATGTCCTCATTCTTTAGCATCTCCTGCTACTTCATATGTGATACTGTTGACACTTTGGTTTCACTAGGGTGGCTAAGTGTGGCTCTCAAGGTGGGAAGCATCTTTCCAGCTGTGGTAGGTAAGCATACAGACCCTGGGGACCTGTATAAGTCTGTTCTCATGCTGCTAATAAAGACATACCCAAGACTGGGTAATTTATAAAGGAAAGAGGTTTAATTGACTCACAGTTCCACATGGCTAGGGAGGCCTCACAATCATGGCAGAAGAGCAAGAGACATCTTGCATAGCGGCAGGCAAGAGAATTAGAGCCAAATGAAAGGAGAAACCCCTTTAAAAACCATCAAGTTTCACGAGACGTATTCACTACCATGAGAACAGTATGTGGAAAACTGCCTCCATGATTTAATTATTTCCGACTAGGTCCTTCCCACATGTGGGAATTATGGGAGCTACAGTTCAAGATGAGATTTGGGTGGGGACACAGCCAAACCATATCAGAACCAATTGGTCAGGTCGGGATCCTAGTTCTGCCACTTGCTAGATGTGTGACTTTTGCCGTGTTACAAAGTCATTCTTGTTTAGATTTCCTCATCCACAAAATGGGATAATTAATAGCATTATTATAGTATGCATGACACAGAATAAACATTGTGTATGTGTCTGATAAATAAATAGCCTAATCAGTTAAAATAGAGTAGCATTATCTTCTACCTTTATACATTATACTTTTGGTGGAATGAGAGAACATCAAGTGCACTCCACCTTACCAATATGCCATATCATTAGCTAAAACTGAACTTCAGTCAACTAAACACCTAGATCAGCATTTCCAGGAGTTTGCCACGTGAGTGGTACATTCTCCCTGTAGGGAAAAAGGGTCATAATTAAATACATTTGGAAAATGTTGTTCCTCCTCTAGAGTTGCAATGTATGTTAGTATATTTTGGGTTCTGAGAAGTCCTGCAATAAAGAAACCTGTTGAATTTTATTGAACTAAGCATTTTCCAAAACTTTTTGCTATGGACACTTCATTTAGAACAGGCTTTGGGCAATACTAGCTCCTATTAACACAGTGTTTTTAAAGACATCAGTTTGTGAAATCAAGCCATTAGCTGCACTTTTCCTTAGAAATATCTGTTAAACCTCCCTCCCCACTTCCATCTTGGGCTTGTATCATTGGTTTGTTGAAAGTTTTGGCAGAACTTTACATTTTTTTCTACTCACTCTTATCTTGTTAGCTTTTATCTTGCTGTTTTTTATTCTAGCTTATAAAATGTGGGAAGATCTTATGATTAAGTGTTCATCTCAGGTTCATCTCCTGAGAAACTATTAGCTTAATTTTATTTTGTCTCCTCCAAGAATTTGGCAAAGATACTAGGGAGAACAGGTTCAAGGATAGGACAAGTGCTGCTCTGAATCATTTTCTAATTGTCTGTGTCAGTGATATCTAACAACTGTGAAAATAATTCTCACTAACATGTTGGCAGGGACAAATATTAAAGTTAAATATTCTTTCAAATATTTCAAATATTTTTATAGGAACCTTATGAAGACATTAGCTTTGATGGAAAGAAATATTGGTGTTATTACAAGTACCTACTAATCAGTTGGTGGCTACCAGGGGCATGCTTTAAGACAGATTTGGAAGCCACCTCTAGGATCTATAGTTCCTGTCTAGATATGAAAGAGGAGTTGGAGTGTGTCACAGTATATATGTCACGTATTTGCCAATTCTGCCTAAGGACCTTATCCGAAAACAAAGATTTTTTTTTTTTTTTCTACTCAGCCCAATGGCAGGCTTTGCAGACATTTTGGATAAAATAGGATTTTGGAAACTCTTAGCTTGCTTTCACCTAATCTGTCCATACCTAGCATTACTCCCAGCAATGTTTCATTGATTAGCTGGATAAAATTTCTTTAGCAAAGCACAATTTATATTAACAAAGCATAAATTATAGTTTAATAAAACTGCCTTAAACCCAAAGCAATGTAACCAAAGTCATCAGAACCTGTAGTCATAATAATGCATAAAAACAAAAAACAGAAACCTAGGTTGCTGTTTTTTCCATTTGCAAAGAGCAATGGAATTCTATTAAAATAGAGCTTATAGTAGTATTTCATATTCAAGGGTGTTAAGGTTAAAATTATGCCAGGGTCCCTTCTAAATAATATTATCATATTTTAAGAGGTATATTGAAAGTTTGTTTTTAAAGGAATATTGAGAAACTACAGTGTCTTTGCACCACATGAGTAATTGTGGAAAAAAAATGAGCAGGATAAGACAAATGTCCTAAAATATTTGATTAATGAAATGTGCTTTGTTTCAATTGTACTGGCAATCACTAATGATAACCAAATCCTTAGGTCAAGCCCAAACATTTCCCTTGTTCTCCAGACCTGTATTTCCAACAAACTACTAACATTTGTCTCTGTGGGATTACAGAGACATCAAAATCCGCATGTCTGAAACTAAACTCATTATATGGCTCCTCAAACTAGCTCCTCCTTTATTATCTATGTTGGGAAAGCTACTGACTGCTCCTCATGACCAAATCAGAAACATGGTATCATCTTAGACACTGTCTTCTCCTCATCCCCACCACCAGTCCTAAGAAAATCCAGGTGCTACAAAAACACTGAATAATAATAACAGCAGTAACTTATACTTTCTGAGTGCTTCTACATACCAGGCCTCATTTCAAGTGCTTTACACACATTAATTTATACATTGTCTTAAATATTATCCAAGTCCACTTTCCCTCCACTCCATTCCTACTGCCAACTTCCTAGTTCAAGGGTTCATCATTTCTCCATTCAATCATGACAATAGCTTCTTAATCACATCTCTTGCTCTGGCCATTCCAATCGATAATCTCTCCTTCATGCTGTGGCAGAGGCACTTTCTAAAACCAAACCGTAACCTTGTCATTTCTCTGTTCAAAATCCTTACCTGGTTTTCTGTGGGCTATAGGGTAAAATTCAAATTCCTTAGTCTGATGATGAACAAGCCTTCTTCAGTTTGCATTCTTTTTACTCACCACCTGCACTTGATTTATAAATCACTTGGATTTCCTAAAACACAGGTGCAGATTCACTCCCCAACCCCTGCCTTCTCACATAAGTCTCTATAGAGTGATATGCCTTTCCCTGCTCTATCTTGTCTTAAAAAAACTCAGAAAACTCAAGAGATCATTTCATTCTTCAAATTCCAGTTCATACTTCACCATCTTTTTGAAACTTTCTTTGGCTCACTCCAAAGTGCTAGCTCTGTATTTGTATTTACTTTCTTTACAAATCAGCCTCCCCTGATAGACAGTGAGCTCCTTAAAAACAAGTTTAAAAACTTTGTATGTTTTGATATCCTCAGGGCCTGGCTGTGCAGCCTCCTTTCAGAAATTAAAGTTATACTTTATGGACAGTAGGACTATATAACCTTTCTTCTGGTTCTAATGTTCCATAATAATACATCCTTCAAGACATAACTATATATAGGGAATGCTTGATATTACAGAGATATGAATCCCACCTATCCCTCCAGTTGCTCATCCACAGCTTTCTAAAGATAAAGTGTGGGTAAGTGTACCAGACTGCATTTCCCAAAAATTGCCACAACATCTCCCATGCCACATGTGCTTCTTACAAGGTGACATTGACAATTTTCCCATTGAGAGGCGTGACTTATGTTCCTTCCCCTTGAATCTGGGTAAGCTTGTGACTACAGATGGAGTATACTATGTGACTTCCAAGGCAAGATCATAAAAGGTGATACAACTTCTGTCTGGGTCTCTCAAGATACTCACTCTTGGATTCCAGCCACCATGCTGTGTAGAAGCCCAACAGTCACAAGGTGCTGCCATGTGTAAGTGTCCCACCAACAGCCCCAGCTGAGCTCCCAGCTCCTCCAGACATATGAGGGAAAGAGGCTCCAGATGATGCCAGCCAGCAAGTCACCCAGAGAGTCAGAGTCTTTCCAGCTCAGCATCCAGACATCATGGGACAGAGACAACTTGACCCTGCTGTGCCCTTTTCAAATTCCTGACCCACAGCATCTTGAGTGTCATATAATGGTTGTTCTTTTATGCCACTTTGTGAGGGGTGGTTTATTATGCAGCAATAGAAAATGATACAACAAGCAATAAGTTAGGCCTACATTTCTTACACGACTCTTAGAGAAACCCTAGGGTTCTGGGGGATACCACTAAGATTCCTAAGGAAAAATCATAAAGGCAGGGGTGAGGTAGTAGTTCTGTGGTCACTGCTATTATGTCTGCTTCTTGATCCCATTTATGCCTAGTGTTCCATTATTGGAATGCTAAGCATGTGGGAGTTATTTATTTCCTACTGCTCAAGGTCATCGCCAAGGTCTGATTGTAAAAATTCAAAAAATTGCAAACTCAGGCATAAATGGGTTAAAGATTGCCATTGTACAAGAGCAAATTAATAGTTTTGAGAAGTCCAGAAGGTACAACACAAAGCACCACTTATGGAATTCCCCAAACGGATTTGATAACGGACTCCTTTTGTTATAACACACAAAACTTCCCCAAAGAAACAACTGTTCTAGCATTCGTATTACAGTCTGAAACACTGGGATACATTAACTCAAACTCACCAAACCAAACTATCCCAAATGTTGGCCAATTATGTTGTTGCTAAGGCCCTGTACTCAGGAGGGACAGCCTTAAATAAGAAGCATTAAGCAGTCAGGTTGTGGTTGAAATGGCTCAGCCACTACATTGTGCTTCCCTTCAGCGGTTACTATAGGAAAGCTGCACCTGAGAGGTAAGAAGAGGAGGGCGGGAAGGCATTCAAAAGACCCTGTGCATGCATATTTTTGCACAGAGTGTGCACACCCCAGTTTTAGCTGTACTAATAGTAGCATGGGGCAAGGAATGGCAGGTCTACATGTGGTCAAGGAAAGGAAGGAAGGGAAAACAGAGAGAAACTTGCTCAAAGGGAGAAGGAATGCACTTTCAAACTGTGGATGCCCTTGTTTTTCTGCACAGCTCATTTTTATTTTAAAATTAGAACAATTCAATAGCCAGAGCTAGAAAGTGATCCTCAGATGGCCCAGAACAGTTAATCTTGGTTGCTTACAGGCAATGGCAGCCTTGGAATCAGTGAGCTGGTCTCACACTTGGGGCTTGAGGCTAAAGTGGCATTTTCAGTTCTCAGGTTTCTCATCCACTTATGTTATTAATGTTCTGCATCAAAACACCAGAGCCTTGCTCTTTCAGCGTGATTCAATGCTGATAGCCAGCAAGGTGGTATACAAGGTTATCCAGCATCTCGTTCACAGACCCTGGCTCACAACAAGGATTACCTCTGCTGTGGGTGTGCACCACTGCCACCTCGTGGCCACCTTCCCAAAGCTCACTCATTCCTCAACGTGGCCTTCCAAGAGTCCCGACTGCTGCGACTTTAAGGGGGTGAAATTCTCCAGGCCAAGAAAGGCAAAGTAAAATATCTTCAGCTTTATTTCAAAAATGGCCACCTGCTAGCACCTCAAGATTACCTTTAATTTAAAAATCAAGAGGCAGACCATATAGCAGAAAGCTCCTGGACTTTGTCTAAACAGAGCTGGATTTGGAGTTTAAAGATGGGTGGTTCTGAGCAAATCACTGTATACCTCAGAGGCTCTATTTCTTCTTAATATTTCCCTTCTTAAAACCAGGGAAATATTATATATTAAGAAGTATTGTAAACATTGTTAAATATATGTGTGTATACACAAGTTAATATACACATATATGTGTGTCCATATATATTATATATGTGTATCTAGAATATATTTGTATATGGAACAAAACATTTAACTTTCACAGTCAGTAAATTCAGTAAATGGATATTTGCAGTATGTGTATGATGTTTCAAGAACAGAAGGGGAACAAAAGCCACTGTCAATGTATTACTCTGCAAAAGAACTATGTGATCTTCAGTCTTTGGCATGGGGTGAGGGTAGAGAAGAACCAGGCTAACTACTGATGCATCATTCTCTTTACTTCCCACAGTAGATCTGTGACTTCAGTATAATTTTCCCCCATTTGAGGGATGAGTACATTGAGGCTTAATGAGGCTGAACCACTTGTGCATAGTTTATAGTCAGTAATAAATGGTGGTATCATGATTCTAGTCTAATTGGTCTGGCTCCAAAAAGTGAACTCCTAAAAATTTGACCTTTTAGAAAGTATATTAGGCAAACTACAGTATCCTAGGTAGTGAAAAAAGGTCAAAACTGATGAGAGCTCAAAACCCAGTTAGTGCAGGGTTTGCAATCTGAGTTCCGTAGAGAGGCCTTAGTTGTCCTGGTCACCTCACTCCTGTCATCATTCTCCGTATCAATGATTTACTGTCACAATGATGCTGAGTATCAAATGATCACAAAGCCCTAATGGCACAAAAACCAAAAAGCATTTGTTGATCACAGGTCTGAAGTCAACTGGATTTTGGCTGGGTAGTTTTAGTGATCTATCTGGGCTCACTCACATGTTTGAGGGAGGCTCAGTTGCTAGCTTATCTAGGATGCCCCAAAGGAAGATGACCAGGCAACTTAGATCTGCTCCTAGTTCTCTTATCCTCCGGCAGGCTAGCCTGGGCATGTTTCTAAGCAAGAGAAGAGGCACAAAAGCAAAGGCAAGTCCAGTCACGCAAATACTTTTTTCAACCTTCTGCAACATCCACTAACTGAAGAAAGTCACATGGCTGAGCCCAGAGTCAGTGGGAGGGCACTGCAAAGTCTATGGCTGTGTTAGTCTCCTGGGGTTGCCAAAACAATTACTACAAACTGGGTGACTTAAAACAATAGAGACTTCTTCTGTCCCAGTTCTGGAGGCTAGAAGTCCAAAATCAATGTGTCAGTAGGGTTGGTTCCTTCTGGGGTCTGTGAGAAGAATCTACTTCTCTCCAAATTTACAGTGGTTTCCTGTAATCCCTGGTGTTTTTTGACTTGTAGACACATCACTCCAATGCCTGCCTCCATCATCATATGATGTTCTCCCTATGTGTCTGCATCTCTGTTTTCTCATGGTATAAGGACATCAGTCACTGGATTAGAGACCACCCTAATCCAGGATGACTTCATCTTAACTAGCTGCAACCACAAAGGCCCTATTTCCAAATAAAGTTACATTTGGAGGCTCCATATAGACATAAATTCTGGCAGGACATTACTCAACCCAGAACAATGGCAAAGGGTATGGATACGGAAAAGAATGAGGAATTGAGTCCTTCTTGCATAAATCACACTATCACATTAGCTATAGAGTCTTCATGGTTTTCTATTTTATTTGAAGTGGATTTGCTACTTTAAAAATTTGAAAATTAATGGTCAAGAGAATTTTTTTCTTTAAGAGATGAAGAAAATGAAATCCAGGGCTAGAAAGTAGATGGCCCAATTTAATGGCAGAGCCAAGAACAAGACTCAAGCCTCAGGACACCAGATCATCTCTCCTTCCACAACTCTGCAATACTATACAAGGAAGCAGTTCCATTGCTGTTGCTCCTACTGTTGTTGTTTTATAATAGAGTAAAACATTGGGCACTGTGCTAGGTAGAAAAATGCCCTCTCCTCCACCTCTAAGATGTCCACATCTTGATCTTTGGAACCTGTGATTATGTTAGGTTACACAGCAAAGGGGAGTTAAGGTTGCCATCGGAATTAACATTGTTAATCAGATGGCCTTGAAATAGAGGAGATTATCCTGAATTATCTAGGTGGGTCAAATGTAATTGCAGTAATTCTTTTTTATTATTATTATTATACTTTAAGTTTTAGGGTACATGTGCACATTGTGCAGGTTAGTTACATATGTATACATGTGCCATGCTGGTGTGCTGCACCCATTAACTCGTCATCTAGCATTAGGTATATCTCCCAGTGCTATCCCTCCCCCCTCCCCCCACCCCACAACAGTCCCCAGAGTGTGATATTCCCCTTCCTGTGTCCATGTGATCTCATTGTTCAATTCCCACCTATGAGTAAGAATATGCGGTGTTTGGTTTTTTGTTCTTGTGATAGTTTACTAAGTATGATGATTTCCAGCTTCATCCATGTCCCTACAAAGGACATGAACTCATCATTTTTTATGGCTGCATAGTATTCCATGGTGTATATGTGCCATATTTTCTTAATCCAGTCTATCATTGTTGGACATTTGGGTTGGTTCCAAGTCTTTGCTATTGTGAATAATGCCTCAATAAACATACGTGTGCATGTGTCTTTATAGCAGCATGAATGGCAATCATTAAAAAGTCAGGAAACAACAGGTGTTGGAGAGGATGTGGAGAAATAGGAACACTTTTACACTGTTGGTGGGACTGTAAACTAGTTCAACCATTGTGGAAGTTAGTGTGGCGATTCCTCAGGGATCTAGAACTAGAAATACCATTTGACCCAGCCATCCCATTACTGGGTATATACCCAAAGGACTATAAATCATGCAGTAATTCTTAAAAGTAGATGAACAAGGCCAAATAGAAGCAATCAAAGGAAGATGTGGCCACAGAAGAGAGGCACAGAGAGATCGATGTTGCTGGCTTTGAAGATGGAGGAAGGGGGCCACAAGTCAAGGAATGTGGGTGACCTCTGAAAGCAGGAAAAAGCATGAAAACATTCTTCTAGAACCTCCAGAAAGTAACATCGCCCTGCCAACACATTGAATTTAGCCCACTGACACCATTTTGCACTTCTGGAACTGTAAGGTAGTAAGTTTGAGTTGTTTAAGACACTAAGTTTATGATATTTTGTTACAGCATCAGTAGAAAACTGATTTTAGGTAGAAATGCTTTTAGCTGCAAGTGTCAAAAAAACAAATAAACACAAAAAACTAGTGACCTCAATAACTATGGACTTATGATTTTCAATAACGAGAAGCTTGGAGTTAGTGGCATGGTAGTTCAGCTACTCAATGATGTTACGAACGACTCAGGTTCCCCATTCCCCGAAGACTCTCCATCTCTTTTGCCAATCTGACTTTATGTCTTACTGGAAACTGGGTTATACAGCTATACCTAGCTGCAAGGGAAGGTAGAAAGTCTAGTAAACAGTAATAGCATTATCAAGACTAGATCAGCCCAATCATAAATAATTGCTTGGAGCTGCGTATATTGCTGCCCTGAAACAAACTAGCAAGGACACGGGGAGATAAGGAGGTAAATAATCTTTGGCAAAGACATGGTCTAATATCTGCCTGACTCTGAGCAACCTACAAGTCACAAGGGTGTTGGGACAATTATTCATTTCTGCAAGCTCTACAAATCTAAATAGGGCACTTAAAACCAGTTGCATCCAAACAGAGGCATACTACATGTAAAGGGAAGAGGCTAGGGTACATGAATAAATCATGCATAAGAATTAGTACTTAAAATAGATATAAAGGATGAAAGTTACCATTACCGTTTATGAGATAAGGAGACTATCTCCTAGGCCAAGAGAGGTTAAGTGATGTGCCCAAACCCACCTAGTGGGCAAAAGTCTAAGTCCAGAATCTCCTGCTTTCTTCTTCTGCTTTCTTCTGGTTGCAAGAGTAAGTGGATAATCAGTGCTAGCTGGATGCTAGTAGTTTAGAACTTCACAAATCTCTCTCAGAGAGCATCTGAAGGAGGGCAGCCAAGCTGCTATTACTGTGGCCACTGATTGAGGCCAGTTCTGAGGACTGACAAAGGAAAGCATGGAAAGTGGTGTATGCTTTTTGTCCACTTACCACTGGAACTCTTGAATCAGGGTATGATTCCCCTTCTGCCAAAAATAGTTAAGCTTTGCATAATTGCAAACTCTACAGAAATTGAAGGCAATTTATATTCTTAGTTATAAAAACTAATCATTCCTTTTCCGTGGTGTGATGGCTAATTTTATGTCTCCACTTGACTGGGTTAAGGGATGCCCAGATAGCTGGTAAAACATTATTTCGGGCATGTCTGTCAAGGTCTTTTCAGAAGAGATTAGCATTTGAGTCCATAAACCGAGTAAAGATCCTCCCTCACTGATATAGTCAGGCATCATCCAATTCTTTGAGGGCTTGAATGAAACAAACGTCAAGAAAGGGCAAATGTACTCTCTTCTCTTGAGCTGGGACATCCACCTTCTGCCTTCGGATATCAGAACTCCTGGTTCTTACGCTTCACATTCCAGAACTTACACCACAAGCCCCCTGGTTCTCAAGCCCTTTGAACTCAGGTTGAATACCACTGACCTTCCAGGTTCTCCAGCTTACAGATGGCATATTGTGAGACTTCTTAGCTTCTATAATCCTAGGAGCCCATTCTCATGATAAATCCTCTTTTATATATCTATATCTAGATATCTAGATCTATCCTACCAGTTCTGTTTCTCTGGAGAACCCTGACTAATATACCTGATATCAAAGAGTTATTTCAGGATTATGATCACTTCCAAGAGGGAAGGAAAAAGAATGGGATCAAAAGAACTCCATAGAGACTGTCAAGTAAAACTGTAATGTTTCATCTTTCAGAAAAATAAAACACCTGTATAAAAAACAAAACTGGCACAATATTAAGAAATATAAAACTAGTTGATGGGTATAAAGGGTTTTTTTATAGTACACTCTTTTCTACATACTTAAGGTATCTCCTTATTGGGAAATATTACAAATAAGAAGATAATCTAAACTCCACAATAAAAAGGAGGTTGTATTTATGCATTAAGTATGTGTGTGTTGGTGCTGGCTATGAGCTAGGCACTCTTCTAGAAGCTAAATACCTGCAAAGTCACTACCCTCATGGAGATTACATTCTAGGCAAGGCAGACAGAAATAAAACAAATTCACTTCAGTAAATGTTAAATAGTCTGAAGGAATAAAACAAAGGAATGTGATAAAAGTGACCCAGAAGATGTTTTCTATGAGGTGGACCGAAAGACAAACATCACTGAGGAGGTAGCATTTGTTCTGAGATGTGAACAATAAATCAAGTCATTCAAAAAATAAGAATAGTACTCCACAAAAAACAATCAGAAAATGCAAAGGCCTGGAGACCTTTTAATACTGCAAGAACCAATAACTAGCCCAAGGCATAGCAAGTAAGGTGATGAGAGATGCGATTAGAAAGACAGTTGTGAGGGCTTTGTGGTCATGGCAAGACATGTAGATTTTATTTGAAATGCAATGGGCTGCCAATGGATGGAGGGCTGAGGGAAGGGGTTGTAAGGAAGGGAACAAGAACATATTTTACATTAATATGTTATAATCATTTTTTAATAGCACTCTGCTCAATGGGCAATTCAGGAAAAGCAAGAAAAAACAGGTACATGATAATAGGCTATAGTAGTAATTCAAGCAAGAGATGACGCTGGCTTGGAAACAAATCTTAGATTTCTTGTACAGACTTACAAGTCTGACATATGAGAAGGTTAAAGAATAGTATGATAGTAACTTATCATGTTTCCCAGAAAAAAAAATGCATATTCTTTACATGGCAGAAGGTTGGGAAATATTTATATGAATGTGATGAGATTTCAGGTGACTTTATTATCTTCTCTAGATGATTATTTATATATTCTTACTTTTTTTTAATTGACCAGACGTTATTTCTGATTTCCAAATCAGTACAATGTCCAGGAAATCATAATACCCTCTTCCATCTGGCTGTCTTGACAAATGCCTTAGAGAGAGTTCTACTTACTGGCCCTTAGACTCGAACTTTGGACTTCATCCCTATGAGTGCCTGATTTTCACGGCCTGGGAGGGAGGTGATGGTAGGGCTTCATATTTATTTATTTATTTATTTATTTATTTATTTATTTATTTATTTTTGAGATGGAGTCTTGCTCTTTCACCAGGCTGGAGTGCAGTGACATGATCTCAGCTCACTGCTACCTCCACTTCCCGGGTTCAAGTGATTCCTCTGCCTCAGCCTCCCAAGTAACTGGGACTACAGGCACGCACCACCACGCCCAGCTAATTTTTGTATTTTTAGTAGAGACGGGATTTCACCATGTTGGTCAGGATGCTCAATCTCTCAACCTAGTGATCTTCCCACCTTGGCCTCCCAAACTACTGGGATTACAGGTGTGAGCCACCGTGCCTGGCCACGGCTTAATTTTAAATATGTTAAGTGTAAGATGTCCACATTGGTTTGCTAGGGCTGCCGTAACAAAGTACCACATATTGAGTGGCTTAAACCACAGAAATTATTTTTCTCACAATTCTAAAGGCTAGAAGTGCAAGAACAAAGGAATCTTCTGAGGCCTCTCTCCTTGGCTTGTAGATGGCCACCTTCTCCCTGTGTCTTTACATGATCTTTCCTATTTGTGTGTCTGTGTCCTAATCTCTTCTTCTTCTAAGAGCACCAGTCATATTTGATTAGGGCCAGCTAACGACCTTAGTTTAACTTAATTACCTCTTTAAAGAACCTATTTCCAAATATAGTCACATTCAGAGGTAATAGAGATTAGGACTTCAACATACAAATATGGGGGGTAGGGTGGACACAGTTCAGCCCATAACAAAGTCTACCCATGCTGGGCAGGTGGAGGAAGATTTTTAAAGGTTATCAGAAACATGACTCTGCAGTTCAGTTTAGTACACTTGCTGGGAGGTAAATGCGTTAGAGTCTTTCATCTATAAATATGAATGAGCTCACCCTAGGAGAGCTCATAGCATGAGAAAAGTCAATGACAGAAGGAAGCAGAAGGAAAAAGCCTGAGAAAGAGATAGACAAGCTGTGGGCCAAGCAGCAGGAGGAAGACTAGAAGAGAATAAGGACATGCAAGTTTCAAGAAGGGTGGTCAACAGTGTCAAACTGCAGGTCCTGAAAATGTACCCTACAAACAACCCATCTAAGGCCCCTCTTGGATGAAACTTCCAACCTCAGCTCAAACCTCCCACCATGGCTTCCACTGGCAATAAAACAAAATGTAAGCTCAGCCTATCATCCAAGGCCCTCCAGAGTATGATTCTAATTCCCTTTTAAACTTTATGTACCTTTAGTACCCTTCAGCATCCTTCAGCATTAGTGACACAGCATTGTTCCCTAGCTCTGACCCAAAGCTCTGTGGTCTCTTCCTTTTGTGCATGTTACCCCCTCACACAGGAATGCCCTTCCCATTCATCCTGCACACCCTTCAAGGACACCAAAACCCTTAGCAATTTTTCTATACCAAGTTGATTTCTGCATATGTCTATCTGCTGCACTGGGCTGTGGACTCTTTAGGGAAAATCTTGTCTGCTATTTATCGTTGGCACCTCTTGAAGCCTGCCATGGTTCCTGGTACCTAGCAGGTGCTCAAAAAATGGCTTTTTGAATCAATGAACTAATGCTGTTTTGCTCCAAACAGAATTAAATAATAATCCAGCAGCTGACATTTGAAAATGTCGATGCTATTGACTCACCTGTTTGGGGGAAGGGATAAGTTTTCTTTGATGACTTAGTGGCTTTCACATCTGTCAGACGTGTCGTATCCCCTTTAATGGTGGTTGCTTATTACAAGGAGAAACAGTTACTCAGGATTCAGGTAGTTTTGTACAGTGGATTATTATGTCTAGAATTTAATAGCACTCTGCTCTTTGATATTTATTTCAGGGTCAATAGAAATGTAACCATTCTCACTCCCTATTTGTGTTCAATCTAACCATTTAGCAGGAGGATTAGACCTGCCACACACTGGGTTTTGAAGATTTAAGAATGATTTGTTTGATTTTGATGCTATGTTTCCCAAATACATTCACAGGCAATAATTACATTATTAATATTTTAATCTTTTGAAAGTGTTAACATTCTTCTTAACATGTTAATCTCTGAATATTGAGGATGATGTGTGTATCAGGTTGTTGGCTTGTGTACAAATTTTTTTCTACAATGTTTTAGGGTGATTATGTGTAGAAATAACATAGGGTACTGCTTCCTTCAAGGCCTTTATCAAAATCAAATTGGAATTCTATCGTGAAGAAAGGGTGTTAAGGCATTCACTACTGTAATATGTTCTGTATGATATTGTTCAAAACCTTTCTGTGTCCATTGACACAGGTGACAATGCTTTGAGATAGTTTGGCTACAGTTATTGTCACCATTTTCTTACAAAAACCTTAGATACAAAGAAAGTTTATTTATTTTTCAGAGACAGGGTCTCCTCTGTCACCCAAGCTGGAGTGCAGTGGCATGATCACAGCTCGCTGTAGCCTCAAACTCCTGGGCTCAAGTGATCCTCCCACCTCAGTCTCACAAGTAGCTGGGACCACAGGTGCATGCAGCCATGCCTGGCTAATTTTTATATTTTTTGTAAAGAAGAGGCTTGACTATATTGTCTAGGCTGGTCTCAAACTCGTGGGCTCAAGCAATCCTCCCACCTCTCAGCCTCCCAAAGTGCTGGGATTACAGGCATGAGCCACTGCACCTGGCCAATGTTGCTGTTATTATTATCATCATTACTACATTCTAGGCTATATTTGTACTCTTAGAACAATGTTATAAGGGTATTAAGGATAAATTAGTCAAATGTCTTCCTTGTATGAATTTTATATAAACTAGGATCATGAAATATAATTAACTAATTGATGATATTCTAGAAGATAGAGTATTTAGATGCTCCGGAACTGGAATTCAATCAACTGTGAGAATTAAAATATCCAGTCTCCTCAATGTAATAGAGACAAATTCTCTAGTGGAAATGGTTCAGCAAGGATTTATTAAAACTTTTCTATAGGAGAAAAAGGCTCAGAGGATTTCACCATAAGTAGAAAATATGTAGAATCAAACTTAAACCTGAAGGCTTTGATCTTTCCTTTATAAAATTCAGCAGAAGTCCTTTCAAGAAATGTAATCCATTTTAAATATTTACCAAACCTTATTCTCAGCTGAAATGGGTGTCAAATCTCAAATTAGAAAGTCTCCTTTTTGGTTCTGGTCCCTTTGGATTTGGTTGCAGCATTTCCTATTATCTGTACTATAAAGAGAAGAGCCTTAGCACAAAAAGCTTCACTATCAGTGATGGAAATTGACAAATCAGTGAAAGAAAAACAAGGCAGCCAAAGAGGAAGTGGATCTCCTGTGTGTTCTTTAAAGGGGAAAACCACTTTTTTGACTATTAAGAACACAATGAAAGTAAAGCCTTAAGACAATATTTCCACCACAGACACAAGGGATGAATATTAAGCCTCTATTATGAGCCAGATAATACATATATCCTATGAATCTATCTTCACATAACCTTATAACAAAAGAATATTATTTCTCATCAATCTAAAATGCTTCAGAGACTCAGAGAAGTGAGTGGCCTGTGGTCACACAGCTAGTGAAACACAAAAGTGAATTTCAGTCCCAAAACCTGAATCCCCTCAGATACCTCAGGCTGTCCTTTTTCAACTGCTCAACAAAAGTTTACAGAAGTGCATCATTTTAAGCCGATTAGGAAACAGCTGGAGAAACGATAATATATAGATTCTACTCTCTGGGTGTTTATAGCCCCAGAAGACAGAACAGCAAATGTGTTAAGACAGCCGTGAGAAGACTAAAAAAAGGAAGCCACAGAAGAGCAGCCGAAACTCATACCTGCTCGGTCATTACAGGTCTCAAAAGGGATTGCACTTTCAAAGACACATCTGTGACACCATATAGATTTATAAGTATGCAAACTGAGAAAACATCATGAATTAATTTCATTAGCAGAACCCCAGAAATTCCATCCCTAAGCGGCCACCTAGGGTTGATCTCTAGGCATTTTTGAATTTTACTTATTTACTTTTTTGAGATAAAAACATTTTGCCTTTAATAATCTTTAAGGTATCGACTCTATTATTCCCTACACTTATGGTATTATAGTTTTCCACATTAGTTAGCAAGGTTAATTTATTAAAATACAATAAAAATTTATTGCCTACTAAATACATAATATTAATTATAAAACCAGTACCTACAGAGTTACCAACCCAGTATGGATTGCAGAATAAGGATGAGAAGAAGGTAATTGAATGACTACCAACCATGTTTTAAAACACAAAGACAACTTTCTTCTCAGAGATACCTGTTAACCTTCAACATCTCAGTTAAGTTTTAAAGGATACTGTTCTGTTTTGGTTAAAGAAAAGTATAGATTCATACAACTGTATCTTAAGCTTCAGACAAATTAGAATTAACTGCTTTATAATTTCTCCTACATTGGCACACCAGCCAGAATAATGAGGGCTGATGCTATGCTGAAATTAGAGTGAATCTAAAATCATAAGTCACAAAGAGTTTTTACAGTCTATAAATTGTCTCTTTTCCTGTCACGCCTACCCCATATGCAGTCACCATCATAGTAAACTATCATTCACAGTAAACTATCATTTTTCCTACCATGTTCTTTTATCTCAGTCAGGATGATAGGATTTTCAATTCTTCTGTCTTCATCCATCATCAAAACTTTATTGGGCTCCTGCTATGTGCTAGGCAACATACCATGAGCTGGAAATACCGGAAAAAGAATGAAAGGACCCATCTTCTCCCAGATATATACTAACTGTTTACCCCAAGAGCAAATCTCCTTGCTTAAATAGTAGTAGCAAGAGATGAGTAAAGTGGTTAAGCTAGCCTAGGAATGGCAAATAAGATAGCTCAGCAAAGCAATTAGGAGCCCTGGAGTCAGATTGTTGACACTCAAATCTTGATTCCACCTAGTTGTTTGACCTTGAACAAGTCACTAAAGTCTTCTGTGCCTGTCTCCTCATCATTAAAATATAAATAATAATAGTACTTAGCACATATCATTGTTCCAGGATTTAAAAAGAGAATACATGTTGATTACTTAGAATAATTTCTAGCACATAAATGTTCCATAAATGTTGGTGTGTCTTTCTTGCTAAGCTGATTAGTACTTATAACTAGTTGGGGTTTTAGGGGTACAGACATGATAAATAGGGATGCAAAATATTTATTAGAGAGTGATACCTGTAAAGGAAAATGAAGAAAAGGAAGGAATGGGCAGGGAGAGTGATCTTTACTTGCCTATCTGGGAGCTCTGGAGGACAGATTGTCCTTTAGAGGTGTCCCACATTGGAGAGAAATGGCTGGGTCCTTGCACCACAGCCCTGCTCAAGCATTGGAAAGGAGATGCCCATGGAAGAACCTCAACTCAAAAGCCGAGACAGATCCTGAAGGACCTAATAGCTGAAGGCTGCTAGTAACTCTACTCTTGGCAGGTAGGCAGCAAGTCCTTTCCCAAAGGGAGACCTGAGCATGCGTCTCCCTCCATCTTGGCTACAGGGGTTATTGTCTGGTGTGTTGGCCTGGAAGGGTTCTCAGGAAGTGTTGAGATTCAATGGACAAAGGCAAGTGGAGACATCATGATTGACTGAGACGTCAACCACAGGCCTTGAGCAAGAAGGAGAAGCCTACTTGCAGGAATTGGTTCTACTAGAACAGATTGTCTCAAAAGCTCCCCCACCTCTGACAAGCCCTGTTCTCTATTCCTTCTCCAGTAGTTTCTCTAAGACCCCAAGGATGGCAGAAGGGCCCGGACGCTAGGACCCTTCCTGCTTCCTAAACACTGTACTGCATATACCATGCTCTTCTGAGGGAGGAGTTACAGAATCCTAGAGTATCACCCAAGCTCCACCCTCAGCCTTGGCTATGTGTGCTCTTCCTGGTACCTCTTCTAAGGGCCAGAAATTCTCAGATGCATTCGGTGTCAGTCCACACCTGGAAGAGCCAGAGCTTGACATAGACAGAGCACCACTAATTATTTGCACCCCACTTTATTCCAAAATGGATTTACAGAATCTTCAAAAACAGTATACTGGCTCAGGAGATAGAGACCATCCTGGCTAACAAGGTGAAAACCCGTCTCTACTAAAAATACAAAAAATTAGCTGGGCATGGTGGCACACACCTATAGTTCCAGCTACTCAGGAGGCTGAGGGAAGAGAATCACTTGAACCCGGGAAGCGGATGTTGCAGTGAGCCGAGATCGCACCACGGCACTCCAGCCTGGGTGACAGAGTGAGACTCCATCTCAAAAAAAAAAAAAAAAAAAAAAGTATACCTAGGTGAATTCGTCTAATAAGGACTTTTATCTAAATTAATGGTATACAAGTGAAGGGAAACTAACAAAATATAGGCAGTGCAAATGTGGGGAAAGTTTCTGCAGAAAAATGGCTTTGGATAAAAGTAAAATGCTATCAGGGAACAAAGTCAGAATTATCATCTCAAATAGGTAATAGATAATTTAAACACTTGGGTATTTTCTTGTTTTGCAACTGTGCTCTCAGCAGTAGGAATCTGTGATTTAGTAATAGGGCTCATTTTTGCTGTCCATCGCATTTCATTTATGGATAGGCACAGTGAGCCTCCAGGTTGTGGCGGCTGCGTGTTCAGCTGCACCTGCCAGAGAGCAGGAAGGCTGAGCAGCTGATGGCAATATCTAGTTCTATCTCTCACCTGGTGGCAGCCACCTGCACTGGGGTAAATCTCCTAGGAAAAACTAGAAGTCTTAATTGCAGTTTTAAAGTCTTAAACCTCAGAACTCCAAGTATACAAAGGAAATAAGACAGCCTCTGATGTTGCTACCTGAATTTCTGATTCCAAATGCCAGTTTACATTTTAAAGAATATTTCTTTGTGAAGTCTAACTCTCATGGTCATAAGCAGTGCCTAGAATGGATCTGGTTTATCAGTTCAGTAAATGCTTGCTGACTGTTCAAGAAATAACAAGGCAAAACTGTTCCCCATCCTTGAAGTTCATGAAACAGGTTTGTTAAGTTTAAGACCAACACTCGTCATATATTATATGTTGGTCCTAATGTCCTGTTAATGAGTTTGAATCACGGGTATACCTTGCCCTTTTCCCCCTTACTCACCACCCTCATCTATCTAAACCATCATCAACATCTCACTGCCTCTCGAGCCCGTTAGGACACCTCCCCTTGATTTCTGTTCTCTAAAGCCTTTGATAACAACCTAGCACAGTCAAAACAGAGGTGCCAGGGCCTTCAGATTGGGCTTCCCACCCATCACCTCACCTTGGAAATTTAGACTGCAACTTACTTCAAAGGTCAAGAATGCAAATGGCCTGGAGGTGAGCTTTGGGATAGTTCCAACTAAACTGCTAATTGGATTCCTTCAAAATGCTACAGTCATGGTCGTCTTTCCCATTTCCAGGCAACAAAGTACCAGGGAATGCTCAGTGACTCATCCTCTGCAGCTGATTCGAAGGCACCTGAGCACCTCAGGCTGAACAGGTGGGGTCTGTCTTCTGTAATTTACTTGATAGAGCTCTTTGCATAGTCAAGTGCTAGAGGAAATGAAAACTACAGACATTAGTTCTCAAGCACCTTCTGAAGAAACCCAGGGATGACCTCAGCTACATGTTTGATACCAAGAAACTGGGTTTTAAAGGCCTTTCAGCTTTGTTTCCTGGCAGTCTTCTTGTTCTAAGATGTCCTTGAAGATCACACTCCACCTCTCCCCTGAACATATATACCCAGGTACCTATTAGAAAATATCTGTGAACATCTTTGGAGAAGGCTGCTGTGACCCTTCTCCTGACCCTAGGGATTGGTTGCTCCTTTCTCTGTGATTTTATAGCAGGCAGAACATCCTGTAGCCCATATCATATTGCATTATTATCTGTTATCCATGTATTTCTCTATCTTGATGGATTATAACTTTCCCAAAAGCAGGTACCAAGTATTGCTCGTCTTAACCTAGCACATGGTAATCTAGTCGAATTGAATTTTAACTCATTTCCATTGACTCATTAAAAGAAAATTATGAAGAAAATGACTTATATTTGGCTATATTAAAATTCTTTATTAAAATAAATGTAATTCTTTTGCACATGTAAAAGTGACCAAATGAGACGAACCAACAATTCTCCAAAGAAATGCAAATAAACAAATGAGAAAATGTTCACTAGTTGTTATGAAAAAATGCCAACTATAATTTTTTATCTCACAAACTGGCAAATATACACGCATGTATACATGCACTCAAATTGATGAAATTAAGATGACAAGCACCCTCCTATATGCTGCTGAAAATTTACAGTGACTATCTTAAAAGAATATATATTTTCCTGTAAGCACAAGATGGAGAGAAAAAAAGTATATATGTATATATGTGTATATATATGTATGTGTATTTA